>NT_187635.1:0-144206 GCF_000001405.40 Homo sapiens | reverse complement strand
TTGTTAGTTAAGCCATTTTGTCACTGAGCACTTTAAAGATGTGCCTTGTTCTAATCAGAAAATTGCATAAATAGGACAGGTATCATAGGTGCTCAATATATGTTTGTTGAGTTCAGTTAAACTTATTACAAATGATGATTTACACATCAGGTAGAAGAAACTCTAAACCTTGATAATTATTGTTTTTGCTAATAGACTCAATAGACTATGAGCGCCAAAGATAAACTTCAATTCATTCACTTTTTTAAGGTGCATGACTACAAACCCTACGCAGAAACTCTACAGGATAGGACCCTAGAAAACAATACTGAATCTGGCACTGGTAAAAAGACAAGTAGCGAATAAAAATAAAACAATGACAACACAAAACCATTAGCAGGAAAATAAACAGGTAAGTCATCTACCAAGAGTGGAGGAGCAAGAAGTTGGCATAATTTGAAGATAGAAGGGATGGTTTGAAATTATGCTGTGGGCAAAAAGTAAAATAATTCCAGCATCATACATTAAAAAGCATTTTTATGAACATTTGAGAAGATCAGGTCTTCTAAAAGTCAGTGCCTTGAAAGAAGAAGGTGGAGACAGTCTAACATAGTAAAATATCCTAAAGAATCATAATAATCAATGAAATGAACTAAAACAAAATATGACAAGTGAGACCTAATTAAACTAAAGAGCTTCTGCACAGCAAAATAAAGTATCAACAGAGTCTACCAACAGAAAACCTACATAATAGAATAAGATATTTGGAAACTATGCATTTGAAAAAGGTCTAATATCCAGAATCTATAAGAAACTTAACCAATTCAACAAGCAAACGCAAACATCCCCTTTAAAATGACCAGAATAAATGAACAGACATTTCTCAAAAGAAGACACACAAGACATTTCTCAAAAGAAGACACAGGACTCTGTGGCCCAGGCTGGAGTCCTGTGGTGCGATCTCGGCTCACTGCAAGCTCTGCCTCCTGGGTTCACGCCATTCTCCTGCCTCAGCATCCCGAGTAGCTGGGACTACAGGTGCCCGCCACCATGCCTGGCTAATTTTTTGTATTTTTAGTAGAGACGGGGTTTCACCATGTTGGCCAGGATGGTCTCGATCTCCTGACCTCGTGATCTGCCCGCCTCAGCCTCCCAAAGTGCTGGGATTACAGGCATGATCCACCGCGCCCGGCCGAGCCCTTGATTTTTATGATCATTAACAAACCCCTTGATAATGCTTAGTGATGTTAAAAATCATGAATCATCAGAAAAATTCACATCAAAACTGCAATCTGATACTTTCTTCACACCAGTCACAATGAGTACTATTATTTTCTAATTTTTTGTTTCAATATCTTTGGGTGTACATGTGGTTTTCATTATACGAGGGAATTGTACAGTGGTGATGTCCAAAATTTTAGTGCACCCAACACCCAAGTAGTGTACAGTCTACCCAATGTATAGTTTCTTATACTCCACCCCCTCCCAACTTCACTTCTTCTGAGTCTCTTACATTTATTATACCACTCTGCAAGCCTTTTTGTACCCAGAGAGCTTACTTACCTCCTACTTGTGAGAACATGTAACATTTGGTTTCACCTTTTTAGTTACTTCACTTAGAATAATGGTTTAAAGCTACTTCCAATTTGCTATAAAAGACATTATTTTGTTCCTTTTTATGGTTGAGTAGTATTCCATGGTGTATGCATACCCTATATTCTTTATTCCCCCATCCATTGATAGGCACGTAGGTTGGATTCATATCTTCGCAATTGTAAATTGTGCTGTGATAAACATACATATGCAGGGGTCTTTTTTATATAATGACTTATTTTCCTTTAGGTAGATACCCACCAGTGGGATTGCTGGATCGAATGGTAGGTCTAATTTTAGTTCTTTGAGAAATCCCTGGTGCTGTTTTGCATAGAGTTTATACTTATTTACATTTACACCAGCAGTGTTTAAGTTTTCCCTTTTCACTCCATCCACACCAACACCTATTGTTTTTTGACTGTTTAATCATGGTCTTTTAATTCTCACTGGGTTAAGGTGATATCTCACTGTGATTTTAATTTGCATTTCCCTGATGATTAGTGATATTCTTCTTTGGAGAAATGTGTATTTGTGTTATTTGCCCACTGTTTGATAGAATCATTTTTTTCTTGCTTATTTGTTTGGGTTTCTTGTAGACTCCTGACATTAGTTCTTTGCCAGATGCATAGTTTGCAAATATTTTCTTCCATTCTGTGGGCTGTCTGTTTACTATGACGACTATTTCTTTTGCTGTACAGAAGATTTTTAATTAGGTGCCATGTATTTTTCTTTTTGTTGCATTTGCTTTTGGATTTTTAGTTATAAATTATTTGCCTAGGCCAACGTACAAAAGTGTTTTTCTAGTTTCTCTTCTAAAATTGTTATTGTTTTGTGCCTTAGATTTAAGTCTTTCATTCATCTTGAGTTGATTTTTGTAGACCGTAAGGGATTGGAATTCAGTCTTATTCTTCTGCATGTGGCTATCCAGTTTTCCCAGCACCATTTATTGAATAGCATGTCCTTTCTCCAATATATATTTTTGTCTGCTTTGTTAAAGATGAGTTGGTTGTAAGTATTTGGCTTTATTTCTGAGTTGTCTCTTCTATTACATTGGTCTATATATCTACATTTATGCCAGTACAATGCTGTTTTGGATATGCTAGCTTTGTAGTATAATTTGAAGTTGGGTCATGTGATGCTTTCAGATTTGTACTTTTTGCTTAGGATTGCTTTGGCTATTCAGGCTTTTTTGTTTGTTTCATACTATATTAGTCCTTTCTCACACAGCTGTAAAGAAATGCCTGAAACTAAAAAAAGAGGTTTAATTGGCTTATAGTTCTGCAGGCTGTTCAGGCTTCTGCTTTGGGGGAGGACTCAGGAAACTACAATAATGGCAGAAGGTGAAGGGGAATCCTGGACATCTTCACATGGCCACTAGGAGAGACAGCAAAGGGGGAAGTGCTACACTCTTTCAAGCAACCAAATCTTGTGAGAATTCATTCACTATCACAAAAACAGCAAGGGAAAAATCTGCCTCCATGATCCAATCACCTCTCACCAGGTCCCTCCCCCAACACTGGGGATTACAAGGCAACATGAGATTTGGGTGGGGCCACAGAGCCAAACCATATTATAGAATTTTTGAAATGTTTTTTTGAATTCCATAAAAAATGATATTGGTGTTTTGATAGGAATTGCATTGATTCTATGGATTGCTTTGGTCAGTATGCTCATTTTGACAATATTGATCCTTCCAATTAATAAGCATGGGATGTATTTCTATTTGTTCATGTCATCTTTATTTCTATTTGCTTGTGTCATCTATGATTTCTTTCTGCAGTATTTTGTAGTTCTCCATGTAGAGATCTTTCACCTCCTTAGTTAAGTATATTTCTAGTTATCTTATTTTTCTTACAGCTATTGTAAAAGGGACTGAGCTCTTGATTTGATTCTCAGCTTGGACATTGTTGAGGTATAGCAGTGCATTTTGTACACATCGATTTTATAACCTGAGACTTTACTGAATTGATTTATCAAATCTAGGCATCTTTTGGTTGAGGATTTAGGGTTTTCTAGGTATATAATCATACCATCAGCAAACAGAGATAGTTTAACTTTCTTTTTCCAATATGAATGCCCTTCATTTCTTTCTCTTACCTGGTTGCTTTGCCTAGGACTTCCAGTTCTTTGTTGAATACAAGTAATAAAAGTGAGCATTGTAGTCTTTTTCCAGTTCTTAGGGCTAATGCTTTCAACATTTTCCTATTTGGATTTGGTATGATGTTGGCTGTGTGTTTGTCATAATGGCTTCCAGTATTTTGAGGAATGTCCTTTCTGTGTCTACCTTGTTGAAGGTTTTTACTATAAAGGGATGCTGGATTTTATTGAATGCTTTTCCTGCATCTATTGAGATAATCATATGGCTTTAGTTTATAATTCTGTTAATGTAATGTTGACATTTATTGAATTGCATATGTTGAACCATCCCTGCTTCCCTGGAATAAAACCCACTTAATCATGGTGAATTATCTGATGTGCTGTTGGATTTGGTTTGCCAGTATTTGTTTGGGTTTTTGTTTTTGTTTTTGTTTTCCATCTCTATTCATCAGAGATATTGGTCTGTAGTTCCTTTGTTTGTTTGTTTGTTATGTCCTTTCCTTGTTTTGGTATTAGAGTAATACTGGTTTTTATAATAAATTAGAAACCATTCCCTCTTTCTCTATCTTTTGGAATAGATTCAGCAGAATTGGTACCAATTCTTCTTTAAATGTCTGATAGAATATCTGCTGTGCATCTTTCTGGCCTTGGGTTTTATTTTGTTGACTTTTTTTTTATTACTGGTTGAATTTTACTGTTTTTTATTGTTCTGTCCCAGATTGCTATTTAATCCTGATTCAGGCTTCAGGGGTTCTGTGTGTTTCCAGGAATTCATTCATTTTCTCTGAATTTTTTAGTTTGTGTGCATAGAGCTGTTCATAGTAGTCTCAAATAATCTTTTGTATTTTAGTGGTATCAGTTATAATGTCTCCATTTTAATCTCTAATTGAATTAATTTTAATCTTCTCCCTTCTTTTCTTGGTTAATTTAGCTAATGATCTATTGATTTTATTTATATTTTCAAAGAACCCACTTTTTGTTTCATTGCTCTTTTATGTTTTTTGTTTCAATTTGATTTACTTCTGTTGCGATTTCTATTATTTCTTCCTCTGCTAGCACAAGGTTTAGTTTGTTCTTGTTTTTCTAATTCTTGAGGTGTGATGTTAGGCTATCAATGTGAGCTATTTCAGACTTTTTGATGTAGGCATTCAGTGCTATACATTTTCCTCGTAGTGCTAATTTTCCTGTGTCCCAGAGATTTTTATAACTTGTATCACTGTTATCATCCACTTTGAAATTTTTAAAAATTTCCATCTTGATTTTATGATTAACTCAAAAATTATTTAGGAGAAGATTCCTTAATTTCCATGTATTTGTGTCACTTTGAAGAATCCTTTTGAAATTGATTTTTAGTTTTATTTCACTTTGGTCTAAGAATATACTTGATATAATTTTGATTTTTAAAAATACATTGAGACTGTTGTTGCCTATTATAAGGTCTATCCTGAAGAATGTTCCATGAGCTGATGAGAAGAATGTATATGCTGCAGTTATTCAGTGGAATGTTCTGTAAATGTACTTTAGGCTCATTTTTTTCTAGAGTGCAGTTTAAGTCTAGTATTTCTTTATTGACTTTTGGCCTCAGTGATCTGTCTAGTGCTGTCAATGGACCGTTAAAGTCCCCCCCATTATTGTTTTGCTTTCCATATCCTTTATTATGTCTAGTCATAATTGTTTTATGAATCTGGGAGCTTTAGAATTGGGTCCATTTATATATAAATTGTAATATCTTCTTGTCATATTAATACTCTTATTGTTTGATGACGTTCTTTGTCTTCTTTTTTTAACTATAGCTACTCCTACTTACTTTTGGTTTCTATTTGCACGGAATATCTTTTTTCCTTGGTACAGTGCTAGGTGAGTGAACTAGAGACAGACAATATTTGGTTTGTAATTTATTTTTATTAATTCTGCCAATCTGCATCTTTTAAGTGCAGCATTTTGACCATTTACATTCAATATAAATATTGAGATATGAGGTACTGTTCCAATCATCATGTTGATTGTTATCTAAAATTTTATTTTTCTTCATTATGTTATTGTTTTAAAAATTCTGTGAGCTTTATGCTTTCAAGAAGTTCTATTCTGGTGCATATTACCCTTTTGTTTTAAGCTTTAGAACTTTCAGTATTTCTTGTAGTGCTCGTCTGTCAGTGACAAATTCCCTCAGCATTTGCTTGTCTGAAAAATATTTTATTTCACCTTTGATATGGTTTGGCTGTGTCCCCACCCAAATCTCATCTTGAAGTTTAACTCCCCCAATTCCCACATGTTGTGGGAGGAACCCGGTGGAAGCTGATTGGATCATGGGGGTGGGCCTCTCCTGTGCAGTTCTTGTGATAGTAAATAAGTCTCATGAGACCTGATGATGGTTTTAAAAATGGGAGTTTCCCTGCAGAAACTCTCTCTCTTTGCCTGCAACCATCCATGTAAGATGTGAGTTGCTCATTCTTGCTTTCTGCCATGATTGTGAGGCCTCCCCAGCAATGTGGAACCACAAGTCCATTAAACCGCTTTTACTTTTCAGTCTTTGGTATGTCTTCATCAGGAGTTTTAAAATGGACTAACATAGAAACTGGTACCAGTAGAGTGGGGCACTGCTGAAAAGATACCCAAAAAATGTGGAAGCAACTTTGGAACTGGGTAACAGGCAGAGGTTGGAACAGTTTGGAGGGCTCAGAAGAAGACAGGAAAATGTGGAAAAGTTTAGAACTCTCTAGAGACTTGTTGAATAACTTTGACCAAAATGCTGATAATTATATGGATAATGAAATCCAGGATGAGGTGGTCTCAGATGGAGATGAGAAACTTGTTGGGAACTAAAGCGAAGGTGATCCTTGTTATGTTTTAGCAAAGGGACTGGAAGCACTTTGCTCCTGACCTAGAGATTTGTAAAACTTTGAACTTGAGAGAGATGATTTAGAGTATTTGGGAGAAGAAATTTTTAAGCAGCAAAACTTTCAAGAGGTGACTTGGGTGCTGTTGAAGGCATTCCGTTTTATAAGGGAAGGAAAGCATAAAAGTTCAAAAAAATTGCAGACTGAAAATGCAATAGAAAAGAAAATCCCATTTTCTGAGGAGAAATTCAAGGTGGCTGCAGAAATTTCCATAAGTAACGAGGATCCAAATGTTAATCCCCAAGACAATGGGGAAAATGTCTCCAGGGCATGTCAGAGGTCTTCACAGCACACTGTCCCATTACAGGCCCAAGAGGCCCAGGAGGAAAAGTGGTTTTGTGGGCCAGGCCCAGGGTCCCCATTCTGTGTGCTGCTTAGGGACTTGTTGCCCTGCATCCCAGCCATTCCAGCCATGGCTAAAAGGGGCAAACATAGAGCTCAGGCCATGGCTTCAGAGGGTGAAAGCACTAAGCCTTGGCAACTTGCACATGGTGTTGAGCCTGTAAGTACACAGAAGTCAAGAATTGGGGTTTAGGAACCTCTACCTAGTTTTTGGAGGATGTATGGAAATGCCTGGATACCCAGGCAAAAGTTTGCTACAGGGGTAGGGCCTGCATGGAGAACCTCTACTAGGGCAGTGCAGAAGGGAAATGTGGGGTTGGGGCCCCCACATAGAGTCCCTACTGGGGCACCATCAAATGGAGCTGTGAGAAGCAGGCCACTGTCCTCCAGACCCCAGAATGGTATATCCACTGACAGCTGTCACTGTACTCCTAGAAAGGCCACAGACAATCCACACCAGCCCATGAAAGCAGCAGGGAGGGAGGTTGTATCCTGAAAAGCCACAGGGCTGGAGCTGCCCAAAACCATGGGAACCTATCTTTTGCATCAGTATGGCCTGGATAAGAGACATGGAGTCAAAGGAGATCACTTTGGAGCTTTAAGATTTGACTACCCTTCTGGATATTGGACTTTCATGTAGCCAGTAGCCCCTCTGTTTTGGAGAATTTTTCCCATTTGCAATGGCTGTATTTACTCAATACCTGTATGCCCATTGTATCTAGGAAGTAACTAGCTTGTTTTTGATTTTACAAGCTCATAGGCAGAATGGACTTGACTTGTCTCAGATGAGATTTTGGACTATGGACTTTTGAGTTAATGCTGAAATGCATTAAGGCTTTGGGGGACTGTTAGGAAAGCATGATTGGTTTTAAAATGTGAGGACATGAGATTTTGAGTGGCCAGGGAAAGAATGATATGGTTTGGGTGTGTCCCCACCCAAATCTCATTTTGAATTGTAACTCCCACAATTCCCATGTGTCATGGGAGGAACCTGGTGGAAGGTAATTGAATTATGGGAGTGGGCCTTTCCTATGCTGTTCTCAGGATAGTGAATAAATCCCATGAGCTCTGATAGTTTTATAAACAGGAGTTTCCCTCTGCACAAAGTCTTCCTCTTTGCCTGCCACCATCTGTGAAAGATGTGACTTGCTCATCCTTGCCTTCCACCATTGTTTTGAGGCCTCTCCTGTCATGTGGAACTGTAAGTCCATTAAACCTCTTTTTCTTCCCAGTCTTGGGTATGTCTTTATCAGCAGCATGAAAATGGACAAATACAATTTTCATTTATGAAACTTAGTTTTGCTGGGTACAAAATTCATGGCTGACAGGTTTTTTTTTTTCTTTTTTTTGTATAAAGTGGCTAAAGGTAGGACCCCAATATCTTTTGGCTTGTAAGATTTCTGCTGAGATGTCTGTTATTAGTCTGTAGTTTTCCTTTATAGGTTACTTAATAATTTTGTCTCATTGCTCTTACAATTCCATCATTCAATTTGACTTTAGATAGCCTGATGACTATATGCCTTGGTGATGTCTTCTTTGCAATAATTCTCCCAAGAATTATTTGAGCTTCTTGTATTTGGATGTTTAAATCTCTAACAATGCTAGGGTAGTTTACAACTATTCTCTCAAATAAATTTTACAAACTTTTTGCATTTTCTTCTACCTCAGTAGCATCAGTTATTCTTATATTTGGCCATTTCATATATTTTCATATTTCTTGGAAAATTTATTTCTTTTAATTTTTTGTTTCATTATTATTGGCTGACTGGGTAAATTCAAAGCCTAGTCTTTGAGGCCTGAAATTCTTTCTTCTATTTGGTTTAGTCTATTGTTAGAACTTTTCACTGCATTTTATAATTTTCTAAATATGTCTTTTAACTGCATTAGTTATGATTGGTTTTCCTTTAAAATACCTATCTCCTTAGAAAATTTTTCACCCATATTCTGAATTATTTTCCTTAATTTATTTATGTTCATTTTCACCTCTCTCTTGTGTCTTTCTGAGTAGCTTAATAATCAACATTTTGAATTATTTATCTGGTATTTCAAATATTTTATCTTTGTTTTGATCAATTGCTGAAGAGCTAGTGTGATCTTTGGCAGCTGTTATAAAACCTTGTTTTGTCATATTGCCAAAATTATTTTTCTGTTTCTATCTTATTTGGGCAGTGCATTTCTTCTAAATATTTTTAGTTTATTTTTTATTTGACCGTGATTTTTTATTATTTCCTCTTGAGATGCAACTTTAATGTTTATAGTTTATTGTAAGCTAATTTGGTTCTGTGTGCTTTCACGGGTAAAGACTGTATGAGTTCCTTGGTTATATAGAGTCTTTGCATGGTGACATTCTCAGATGCTGTGTGCACTTACTTATCTACTTTTTCCCCAGTGGCCTGAAGTCTGAACTGTCCAACATAGTAAATAAAACATTGGGGGGAAATAAATAAATAAGTACACACCACTGGGGTATAAGATAAGCTTCAAGAAATTTCTGCAGCTCCAACCACACAGGAGAGAGTGAGCTTGCACACAAATCAGTTCAGACTTCAGACCAGTGGGGTGGTTGTCCACAAGTATGAAGCAGTTGTGGCTAAAGCAAGTTTGTGAATGCAATACACAATAGTGGGCAGAGGTTCAAGCCTTAACAGAAGTGGCTGGGGGAGCTCTCCCTGAAATGCACTGAGGTCTTATCAGAGGGAAGGGAAGAAGCCACCTCAGCTTGCACGACAGGCAAGCAGGAAAGGAATCCACCTTCCAGTCACACTCCCAACCCATCATTCCAGCAACTCAGGGCAGACCGGCCCCGGTTTTCATTTGCAGGAATGCTGATGTTTCATATAGAAAGGTATTGTGAATCTACTCTTCATTTAAGCCTGAACCTGAAGGGCACTTCTCCTATGGAGATGCGGTCACCCTGATGTGTTTTTAAAAGTCTGTCTAGAGGTGCACCCATGTCTATCCCTGAGGAAAGAAGTCCCATCTTTGTCTTCAGTGATGGATGAGAGGAAAAATAAGTACCCTTATACAATGTACTTCATGAACACCAGGACTGCCTGACTATTAGGGTGGAGCCAGAATTTCCCCACTTAACCCAGCACTGTACCTATGCCTCTGCTGAAAGAAACGACCCACATGTGGAATGTTCTGGGACTCAAGTCCTGCCATCTGGATAATTTTGTCCCATGGAATACTTCCTTGATGTGGTGCACACTCCTTCCCTCAGGTTTAATAATCCCTTAGGGACAGACTACTATGAATGCTAGCGCCCCTCTAAGTCTAGCCACCAAGTGAGGTTGCTACACTTCAGGCTGGTGCTGTGGAATGTCTGCAAGTGGTCCAGTGATGTTAATTGTCCTCTACATTCCCAGCAGTGGCTACCAGTACCAGCTCTGATTGGGGTGACAGCGGAGTGACACAGACTGTGAGATTTCTTGGTTATAAATAGCCTTAGTGCATTGGCTTTCTCAAATACCAGTTGTAGTAATAATGAACTTGTCACAAAAAATGAGGACCTCATGGTTATCCCGGGTGATGCAGGCAATTCAGATAGCTAAGATCAGACACATGTGTTCTCTTTCCTGTACCCTGTTATTGTGCCTGTATATGTTGTAATGGACACTTGGCAATGCAGGACTCAAACTTACAGCATTCAACTGGTAGCAGCTCACTACATTCTAGAAAGTCTTGCTCAGAACTGTAAACTGCCCCAGGCCATAGCCTTCTCAGTGGGGAGAGCAACTCTGGCTTTCTGGCCACACCCCTCCCAATCTGTGCATGAAGCAGGGTCACCCAGTTTCTGCACCTGTTTCTGCAGCACACTTCCCACTCACCTCTCAGTTCTATCCAAGGGAGTTTATCCCCAGTCAAGATTATATTACTAATCTCAGGTGGGAGCTTCTGTCAACCTGTAACTGCCATTTGAGTTAGGCTGCAGATTTCTACAAGGTCCCTTGTGAGGTAGAATCAGAAATGGCTTCCCTCTGTCTCTGCTGGAGTCTGGGAATGTACACAAAGCATGTCCTGATGCCAGTTCTTCTCATATACTCCCCACCACTCATTAAATCAGTTCCAGTGCTGAGTAAGGTTTAAGGCCTTCCCCTGTAGCCAGGATTGCCAGGTTACCTGGTGGGAGTGTGTATCCTGAGGCAGTTTATCCCCCTTTCACACTCTGAGGACTTACAGTTTTCTACCTGTCTCACAGTGTAGGCTGCAGCCCAATGCTTCTTTCAAAGGGTCTGTGGTTTCTTTCAGTTTTCCTGTTAAGTTCCTGTGTTGTTTCTTGAAAACAAAGTTAACCATGTGAATCTCTACACAGTATTTTTTTCCAAGAGGTAGAAGCATGCTAATAATGCCTCCAATCCTCCATCTTTGAAAAAATAATGGCTACTATTAAAAAGTCAAAAAGCAACAAATACTGGCAAGGCTGCATAGACAGGAAACACCTATACATTGTGGATCGCTTGGTGGGAATATAAATTAGTTCAACTTATGTGGAAAGCAGTCTGGAGATTTATCAAAGAACCTAAAACAGAGCTACCATTAAACCCAGTAATCCCATTGGTGATTATGTACCTAGAGGAAAATAAATTATTCTATGAAAAGACATATGCAGTTATATTATGATCATTGCTGTGCTATTCATGTAATCAACCCAGGTCCCATCAGCTCTAGATTGGATAAAGAAAATGTGATATGTATACAGCATGGAATACTACACAGCCATGAAAATGAATGAAATTGTCTTTTGCAGCAACATGGGTACAGTTGGGGGCCATAATCCTAAACAAATTAATGTAGGAACAGAAAACCAAATACCACATGCTCTCACTTATAAGTGGGAACCAAACGTTGAACACACATAAACATAAGTAGGAGAACGATAGACACTGTGGACTCCTAGTTTGGGGGAGGAAGGAAGAGGAGCATAGATTGAAAAACTACCCATCTGGTACTGTGCTCACTACCTGGGTGGCGGGATCCATATGCCAAACCTCAGCATCACACAATATCCTCATGTAACAAACGTGCACACGTACCCCCTGTATCTAAAACAAAAGTTGAAATTTAAAAGATTGCAGAGACATGGAATCAACACAAGTGTCCATCAATGGTGGGTTGGAAAAAAAAAAATGTGGCACATATACACTATGGAATACTATGCAGCCATAAGGAAGAATGAAACCATGTCTTTTTGCAGCAATATGGATGCAAGTGAATTATTCTGAGCAAATTAATGCAGAAACACAAAACAAGATACCACATGTTCTCACTTTAAGTGGGAGTTAAACATTGGGTACCTGTGAACATAAGGCAACAATAGACACTGTGACTAACAGAAGAGGGAGGTAGGAAGGGAGGCAGGAGTTGAAAAACTAGCTCTTGGCTACTATTATCAGTACCTGGTTGACAGAATCAGTTGTACCCCAAACTTCGACATCATGCAACATACCCATGTAATGAACATGTACATATACCCCCAAATATAAAATAAAAGGTAAAATTATATTTAAAAAATCAATGCGATTTGCAATCCATGATTGAATCCTAGATCAAAACAAGGTCATATATAAAAGACATTTAGGGAACAATTAGGGTTTTTTAATATAAGATGAATATTAAATATAGGAGATTGTTAATTTTATTAGGATCAATTATGATACTTTGGTTGTATGGGAGAATGATGTCATTCTTAGGAATTGAATGTTGTTGTACTCAGTGCTAAAATGTGATGATGTCTATAACTTATTTTCAAAATATTCTGAAGATGACAACAAATCAAAACAATAACAGGCTGGGCGCAGTGGCTCCTACCTGTAATCCCAGCACTTTGGGAGGCTGAGGAGAGCAGATCACTTGAGGTCAGGAGTTTGAGACCAGCCTGGCCAACATGGTGAAACCGCATCTCTACTAAAAATACAAAAATTATCTGGGCGTGGTGGCACACCTGTAATCCCAGCTACTCGGGGGGCTGAGGCAGGAGAATCCCTTGAACCCAGGAGGCAAATGCTACAGTGAGCCAAGATCACACCACTACACTCCAGCCAGGGCCACAGAGTGAGACTCTGTCTCAAAAACAAACAAACAAACAAACAAAAAAACAATAACAACAAAATTAAACGATTCCTCTCTCTCTGCCTCCATACACACTTACATACACACATATGCATACATACATTTATACATGAAGCAAATCTAACAAAATTTTTTAATCTATATCACTGATATTCAGATGGTTATTATATTATTTTTCAACCTTTCTATATGTTTGAATATTTTCATAATAAAAAGTTGAAAAAAAACTAACCTCAAACATCAAACCAGTAGTGGAATGGACAAACATATAGTATTAATGTGGCAACTGTTATTGCAGTTGAACACTTAACAATGGGTTGAAAGAACTCTCATTATTTCATACTACAAATATTCACTACTGTGTAGTAGAAACTGTGCCACATACAACAGTGAACTGGGTAGATGGGTTCCTGTCTTTTTTGTAACAGTATTATTGAGATATAATTCATATGCAAAGAACTGCACATATTTAATGTGTCCAATTTGATGAGTTTCCTTGGGCTCCTTTTATTTGGTGTGGTAAGAACACTGAACAAAATGCATACCTTATTAGTAAAGTTTGAAGTTCAAAATACCATATTGTTAACTATAGGCACTATTACCCATTGAGCAACAATGCTTCATTTTCCATACCCCCTAGTACCTGGCAAACACTATTATATTCTCTGCTGCTATGAGTATGACTATGTTAGATACATCATATAAGTGGAATTATATAGTATTTATCCTTCTGTTACTGGCTTATGTCACTTAGCATAATGTCTCCGAGGTTTATGCATGTTGTTGCAAGTGCTAGGAATTTCTTCTTCTTAAAAAGCAAATAGTATTCCATTGTATGTATATATCAAATTTTCTTTATTCATACATCTGTCAATGGACATTTGGGTTGTTTCCATATCTTGGCTATTATGAATAGTGCTTCAATAAACATTGGAGTGCAGATACCACTTTAACATCCTAATTCCAATAATTTTGGGTGTATACCCAGAAGTGAAATTGTTGGATCAGGTGACAGTTATATTTTTAATTTTTTGAGGCATTTCAACACTGTTTTCCATAATGGCTGCACCATTTAACATTCCCATCATCGGTGTACAAAAATTCCAATTTCTCTGCAATCTTTTTTTTTAATACTCATCATAACAAGTGGGAGGTTATATCTTATTGAAGTTTTGAATTGCATTTTTCTGAATATTAAATATGTTGAGCATCTTTTACCTGTTACTATTTGTATATCTTCTTTGGAGAAATATCTAAGCCCTTTGCTCATTTTTAATAGGATTGTTAGTATTATTTTCTGTTAAGTTGTAGGACATCTTCATATAGTTCGGAAATAAATCGCTTTTCAAATATATGTGTTACAAATATTTTCTTTGTTTCTGTAGGTTGTATTTTTATTCTGTTGTTTCCTTTGCTGTCCAGAGCTTTTTAGTTTGACACATTTTCACTTCTTTTTTTTATCTTCAATGTTCAGGGGTGTATGTGGAGACTGTGCAGGTTTGTTACATAGGTAATCATGTGTCATGGGGGTTTGTTGTAGAGATTATTTCACCACCCAGGTGTTAAGTCTAGTATCCATTAGTTATTTTTCTGGATCCTCTGCCTCCTTCCACCTTCCACCCTCCCATAGGCCCCAGTGTGTGGTGTTCCCCTCTATGTGTCCGTGTGTTCTCATCATTTAGCTCCCACTTGTAAGTGAGAATATGGGGTATTTGGATTTCTGTTCCTGCATTAGTTTGCCAAGGATAATGGCCTCCAGCTCCATCCATGTCCCCCCCAAAACATCATCTCATTCTTTTTTATAGCTGCATAGTATTCCATGGTGTATATGTACCATATTTCCTTTATCCAATATGTCATCGATGGGCATTTAGGTTAATTCCATGTCTTTGCTATTGTGAATCATGCTGCAATGCACATACACGTGCATGTGTCTTCATAATAGAATGATTTATAATCCTTTATATTTTCACTTATTTTTGCTTTTGTTGCCTATGCTTTTGGTGTTATAGCCAAGAAACCATTGCCAATATCAGTGCCAAGGCTTTCTTCTATGTTTCCTTTTTGGAGTTTTAAAGTTTCTGTTAGAAACTTTGAAATAAATAAAAAACCTTTATCTATGTTGAGTTGATTTTTGTTTATGGTGTAAAGTAGGGGTCCAGTTTCATTCTTTTGTTCATACCTATCCAGTTTTCCCAACAACATTTGTTAAAGAGCCAGTTGTTTCACCTTTGTGCCTCCTTGACACATTTTCCTTTTTAACATTTATTTTAGATTCGGTGGGTACATGTGCAGGTTTGTTACATGGGTAACTTGCATGTCACTGGGGTTTGGTGTACAGATTATTTCTTTGATAATGAGCACAGTACTTGTTAGTTTTTTATGCTTACTTCCTCCCACCCTCCACCCTAAAGTAGGTCCCAGTGTTTATTGTTAGCTTTTTTTTTTTTTTTTGAGATGGAGTCTCACTCTGTTGCCCAGGCTGGAGTGCAGTGGCGTGATCTCATCTCACTGCAAGCTCTGCCTCCTGGGTTCATGCCGTTCTCCTGCCTCAGCCTCCCGGGTAGCTGGGACTACAGGTGCCTGCCACCACACCCAGCTAATTTTTTGTACTTTTAGTGGAGACAGGGTTTCACCGTGTTAGCCAGGATGGTCTCAATCTCCTGACCTCGTGATCTACCCACCTCAGCCTCCCAAAGTGCTGGGATTACAAGCATGAGTCACCACACCCGGCCTATTGTTAGCTTTTTAGTGTCCATTTGTATGCAATGTTTAGTTGAGAACATGTGGTATCTAGTTTTATGCCACTGCATTAATTTCTTTAGGATAATGTCCTCCAGCTTCATCCATGTTGCTGCAAAGAACATGATTTCATTTCTCATGGCTGTGTAGTATTTCATGGTGTATATGTACCACATTTTCTTTATCTAGTCTATTATTGATGGGCATCTATGCTATGATGATACCTTGTCTTTGCTATCATGAATAGTGCTGTGATAAACATACACATGCATATACCACTATGGTAAAATAAGTTATGTTCTTGTGGGTGTATATTTAGTAATGACATTGCTGGGTCAAGTGTTAGTTCTGTGTTAAGTTTTTTGAGAAATCTCCAAACTGCTTTCACAGTGGTTGAACTAACTTACATTCTCACAAGCAATGTATAAGTATTCCCTTTTCTCTGCAATCTCATCAGTATCTGTTATTTTTTGACTTTTTAATAATAGTCTTTTTTTGTTTGAGATGGTTTTGCTCTTGTCAAATAGGCTGGAGTGCAGTGGCATGATCTCAGCTAACTACAACCTTCACCTCCTGTGTTCAAGCAATTCTTCTGCCTCAGACTCCCGAGTAGCTGGGATTACAGGCGACTGCTACCAAGCCTGGCTAATTTTTGTATTTTTAGTAGAGACAGGGTTTCACCATGTTTGTCAAGCTGGTCTCGAACTCTTGACCTTGGGTGATCTGCCTGCCTTGGCCTCCCAAAGTGCTGGGGATACAGGTATGAGCCACTGCACCCAGACAATCAATAATAGTCATTCTGACTGCCATGAGATTGCATATCATTGTGGTTTTAACTTGCATTTCTCTAATGATTAGTGATGCTGAGCATGTTTTCATATGCTTGTTGGCTGCTTGTATTTCTTCTTTCAGAAGTGTCTGTTCATGTCCTTTGCCCATTTTTTTCATGAGGCTGTTTGGTTTTTTGCTTGTTAATTTAAGTTCTCTAGGGTATTGGAACATTTTCAGATGCATAGTTTGCAAAAATTTTCTCCCATTCTGTAGGTTGTCTGTTTACTCTGTGGATAGTTTCTTCTTTTGCTTTGCACAAGCTCTTTGGTTTAATTAGGTCCCACTTGTCAGGTTTCCTTTTTGTTTCATTTGCTTTTGGAGCATTCATCATGAAATCTTTGCCAGGGCCTATGTCCAGAATGATATTTCCTAAGTTTTCTTTTAGGGTTTTTATAGTTTTTGGTTTAGTATTTAAGTCTTTAATCCATCTTGAGTTGTTTTTGTATATGGTGAAAGAAAGGGGTCCAATTTCAATCTTATGCATCTGACTGGCCTGTTATTCCAGCACCATTTATTGAAAAGGGAGTCATTTTTGTATTGCTTGTTATTGTAAATTTTGTAAAAGATAAGATGGATGAAGGTGTGGGGCTTTATTTCTGGATACCCTAACCTGTCCCATTGGCCTGTGTATCTGTTTTTGTATCAGTACCATCCTGTTTAGGTTGCTGTAGTTCTTTTTATTATCATAACTAATTTATTATAAATTATAAATTAAATTATTATCCCATTGATTTGTGACCTGCAAGATTTCTTGACTGTTTTTGGAGGCTTCAGATTCTTGGCTGGATTTTAGAGCTCCCACAAAGTTACTTTCATGAGTCTGTTTTGGTTTACTTGATGTTTCTAGAGGGTAGCAAGGGCCTGGGGCTTTTTTAACATGCCATCTTACTTATGCCACTGGATACTAACTTTGCTCTTTATTTCCCCGAAACTGGAAAGAGCTCAAATGTTTTTCAATAGATGAATGTCAAATAAACTGTGTTACATAATATTATAGGACACTATTCCACAAAAAAAGAAAAAGAATATTTACATAGTTTATAATTCCATTTATTGATGGTGGGAAAATTAGGTGTAGTTATTAAAAGCAACAGAAATGATCCTTTTGGTTATTGATCTACTTTATATTTTGACTCTGGTGCTCAACTACACGAGATAAAATTGCACAGAACAAAATATGCACATACATGATAACACACACAAATTGGCACATGCAAAATTGGTGAAAACTGAAAAAGATTGCTGAGTTGTATTACACTACGGTTCTGCAAGATTTAACCGGTGGAGAAAATTAGGTAAATAGCACATAAAGTTTTTTGTATTATTTTTCACAACTGCAAATAAAATTACCTCAAAATAAAGACTTCATTCAGTTATCTGCACAAATGTCACTTGTTCGTGTTAGCCTACATCAGTTTTCAGTGCATTACCCTGCTTTGTTTTGCTTCAAGCATTTACCACTATCTGACATTGTATTGTATTGTATTGTATTGTATTGTATTGTATTGTATTGTATTGTATTGTATTGTATCCTATTGTATCCTATTGTATCCTATTGTATTGTATCGTATCTGACATTCGTTTGTCTGTTTACACATTTAGAATGCATTAATTCTTTGAGATAAGGTACAGTCTTTTTGTTTTTGTTTTTGTTTTCCAATTTACTACTCTTATCAGTGCCTAAAATGGTGCCTTCTAATAGTAAGTACAAGGTAAATATTTGTTAAATTATGTAAAGAATTAATTAATTGAAGTTAGCATAAAATTGACCCTTAAGTATTACTTTAATTCTATCATTTAATAGTGAAAAAACTGAGGTTCAGAGAATTTAGGGATTTCAGCATAGTTTCCAGCCATACAATTAAAAAAAAAAATCCAGACTAAAACCAAGTTATACTGACAGCTGACTCATTTATTTTGTGACATCATCAGAATTGCCTTTGTGTGCGGCAGTGGGCGTGGTGAGAAAAGACTTGCACTAAACAAAATGTTTACACTGTAATTATCCATATAGATTGGAATAATAATGGAAATCTCTAAAACCAAAATTCTTACTATTCCCATAGCCCTCCTGTTACTATACAGAAATAATTTCCTGACTGTGATTTAAAAATCTGAATACATTAGGACTCATAATGCAATGGTGGTTAAATTCTGATATATTCAGTGTTAGTGACTTGTAAATATTAGACAGTTATAGAGCATTTGAGGTATTCATTTGAGATAAAAGAATATAAATACTGTATTTTGATTAAGTTCTTTTTGTAATTTCTCCTTCCGGGAGAAGCCAAGCCTTTTGTTTTGTTTACCTGTTTAGACAGTGAAAACAGGATTTACTGTTGGGCCGGGCATGGTGGCTCACACCTGTAATCCTAGCACTTTGGGAGGCTGAGGCGGGCAGATCAGGAGTTCAGGAGTTCGAGACCATTTTGGCTAACATAGTGAAACCCCATCTCTACTAAAAATACAAAAAGTTAGCTGGGTGTGGTGGCACGTGCCTGTAGTCCCAGCTACTTGGGAGGCTGAGGCAAGAGAATCGCTTGAACCTGGGAGGCAGAGCTTGCAGTGAGCGAAGATAGCACCACTGCTCTCCAGCCTGGGCAACAGAGCGAGACTCTGTTTCAAAAAAGATTGAATAAATAAATAAATAAATAAAACAATATTTACTGCTTTTACAATATAGAGCCCATAAATTTTATTGCATCTAACATACTTCATCTTTTAAATGTTCAAAAGTAAGCTCTTATTATTTAAAAAACTGAAAATATCTTAATTTCAAAACCGATATGTGTCTTAAGCTCAGAATATTCTTATATGTCCACTAATTAATTAACTCATTTCTTGAACACTTCCCAAGTAACCAACACTATTCCAAGTGCTAGATAGAAAGATGAATGGAATTTCATTTCTGCTTTCAAAAAGATGGCAGTTTATTGGGGTACTTAATAAATACATAGTAAATGTATAAATAAATGATCTGATATATTATATGTAAACTTTATATCTATGACATAAATTATAATCCTTATTTTTCTTTATTTTTGAAGGAGCTTAATGGTTCAATTAGAGTATATGATTAATCGAAACCTTGTCTCTAGAAACCACTTTGCCTTGGTTTTTTTATTTGTTAATTTATTTTAAGTTCTGGGATACATGTGCAGGATGTGCAGGTTTGGTACATAGGAAAGAGTTTGCCATGGTTGTCTGCTGCAGCTATCAACCCATCACCTAGGTATTAAGCCCATCACGCATTACCTATTTTTCCTGATGCTTTTCCTCCTCCTGGTCCCCCAGACAGGCCCCAGTGTGTGTCGTTCCCCTCCCTGTGTTCGTGTGTTCTCATCATTCAGCTCCTACTTATAAGTGAGAACATGCGGTGTTTGGTTTTCCTTTTTTTTTTTATTGTTGCTGTTTTGTTTTATTTCTTTATTTACTATTTATTTATTTATTTTTTATTATTATTATACTTTAAGTTTTAGGGTACATGTGCACAATGTGCAGGTTAGTTACTTATGTATACTTGTGCTATCCTGGTGTGCTGCACCCACTAACTCGTCATCTAGCATTAGGTATATCTTCCAATGCTATCCCTCCCCCCTCCCCCCACCCCACAACAGTCCCCAGAGTGTGATGTTCCCCTTCCTGTGTCCATGTGTTCTCATTGTTCAATTCCTACCTATGAGTGAGAACATGCGGTGTTTGGTTCTTTGTTCTTGCAATAGTTTACTGAGAATGACGATTTCCAATTTCATCCATGTCCCTACAAAGGACATGAACTCATCATTTTTTATGGCTGCATAGTATTCCATGGTGTATATGTGCCACATTTTCTTAATCCAGTCTATCATTGTTGGACATTTGGGTTGGTTTCAAGTCTTTGCTATTGTGAATAATGCCGCAATAAACATACGTGTGCATGTGTCTTTCTAGCAGCATGATTTGTAGTCCTTTAGGTATATACCCAGTAATGGGATGGCTGGGTCAAATGGTATTTCTAGTTCTAGATACCTGAGGAATCACCATACTGATTTCCACAATGGTTGAACTAGTTTACAGTCCCACCAACAGTGTAAAAGTGTTCCTATTTTTCCACATCCTCTCCAGCAAATGTTGTTTCCTGACATTTTAATGATTGCCATTCTAACTGGTGTGAGATGGTATCTCATTGTGGTTTTGACTTGCATTTTTCTGATGGCCAGTGATGATGACAATTTTTTCATGTTTTTTGGCTGCATAAATGTCTTCTTTTGAGAAGTGTCTGATCATATCCTTCACCCACTTTTTGATGGGGCTGTTTGTTTTTTTCTTGTAAATTTGTTTGAGTTCATTGTAGATTCTGGATATTAGCCCTTTGTCAGATGAGTAGGTTGCGAAAATTTTCTCCCATTTTGTAGGTTGCCTCTTCACTCTGATGGTAGTTTCTTTTGCTGTGCAGAAGCTCTTTAGTTTAATTAGATCCCATTTGTCAATTATGGCTTTTGTTGCCATTGCTTTTGGTGTTTTAGACATGAAGACCTTGCCCATGCCTATGTCCTGAATGATAATGCCTAGGTTTTCTTCTAGGGTTGTTATGGTTTTAGGTCTAACGCTTAAGTTTTTAATCCATCTTGAATTAATTTTTGTATAAGGTGTAAGGAAGGGATCCAGTTTCAGCTTTCTCCATATGGCTAGCCAGTCTTCCCAGCACCATTTATTAAATAGGGAATCCTTTCCCCATTGCTTGTTCTTCTCAGGTTTGTCAAAGATCAGATAGTTGTAGATATGCGGCATTATTTCTGAGGGCTCTGTTCTGTTCCATTGATCTATATCTCTGTTTTGGTACCAGTACCATGCTGTTTTGGCTACTGTAGCCTTGTAGTATAGTTTGAAGTCAGGTAGTGTGATGCCTCCGGCTTTGTTCTTCTGGCTTAGAATTGCCTTGGCAATGCGGGCTCTTTTTTGGTTTCATACGAACTTTAAAGTAGTTTTTTCCAATTCTGTGAAGAAAGTCATTGGTAGCTTGATGGGGATGGAATTGAATCTGTAAATTACCTTGGGCAGTATGGCCATTTTCACGATATTGATTCTTCCTACCCATGAGCATGGAATATTCTTCCATTTGTTTGTATCCTCTTTTATTTCCTTGAGCAGTGGTTTGTAGTTCTCTTTGAAGAGGTCCTTCACATCCCTTGTAATTTGGATTCCTAGGTATTTTATTCTCTTTGAAGCAATTGTGAATGGGAGTTCACTCATGATTTGGCTCTCTGTTTGTCTGTTTTTGGTGTATATAAGAAAGCTTCTGATTTTTGTACATTGATTTTGTATCCTGAGACTTTGCTGAAGTTGCTTATCAGCTTAAGGAGATTTTGGGCTGAGACAATGGGGTTTTCTAGATGTACAATCATGTCGTCTGCAAACAGGGACAATTTGACTTCCTCTTTTCCTAATTGAATACCCTTTATTTCCCTCTCCTGCCTAATTGCCCTGGCCAGAACTTCCAACACTATGTTGAATAAGAGTGGTGAGAGAGGGCATCCCTGTCTTGTGCCAGTTTTCAAAGGGAATGCTTCCAGTTTTTGCCCATTCAGTATGATATTGGCTGTGGATTTGTCATAGATAGCTCTTATTATTTTGAGATATGTCCCATCAATACCTAATTTATTGAGAGTTTTTAGCATGAAGGGTTGTTGAATTTTGTCAAAGGCCTTTTCTGCATCTATTGAGATAATCATGTGGTTTTTGTCTTTGGTTCTGTTTATATGCTGGATTACATTTATTGATTTGCATATGTTGAACCAGCCTTGCATCCCAGGGATGAAGCCCACTTGATCATGGTGGATAAGCTTTTTGATGTGCTGCTGGATTCGGTTTGCCAGAATTTTATTGAGGATATTTGCATCAATGTCCATCAAGGATATGGGTCTAAAATTCTCTTTTTTGGTTGTGTCTCTGCCCGGCTTTGGTATCAGGATGATGCTGGCCTCAAAAAATGAGTTAGGGAGGATTCCCTCTATTTCTGTTGATTGGAATAGTTTCAGAAGGAATGGTACCAGTTCCTCCTTGTACCTCTGGTAGAATTCGGCTGTGAATCCATCTGGTCCTGGACTCTTTTTGGTTGGTAAGCTATTGATTATTGCCACAATTTCAGAGCCTGTTATTGGTCTATTCAGGGATTCAACTTCTTCCTGGTTTAGTCTTGGGAGAGTGTATGTGTCGAGGAATTTATCCATTTCTTCTAGATTTTCTAGTTTATTTGCATAAAGGTGTTTGTAGTACTCTCTTGTGGTAGTTTCTATTTCTGTGGGATAGGTGGTGATATCCCCTTTATCATTTTTTATTGCATCTATAGGATTCTTCTCTCTTTTCTTCTTTATTAGTCTTGCTAGTGGTCTATCAATTTTGTTGATCCTTTCAAAAAACCAGCACCTGGATTCATTAATTTTTTGAAGGGTTTTTTGTGTCTCTATTTCCTTCAGTTCTTCTCTGATTTTATTTATTTCTTGCCTTCTGCTAGCTTTTGAATGTGTTTGTGCTTGCTTTTCTAGTTCTTTTAATTGTGATGTTAGGGTGTCGATTTTAGATCAACACCAGTACCAGCCAGTACCAGCCACTGCAAAATCATGCCAAAATGTAAAGACCATCGAGACTAGGAAGAAACTGCATCAACTAATGAGCAAAATAACCAGCTAACATCATAATGACAGGATCAAATTCACACATAACAATATTAACTTTAAATGTAAATGGACTAAATGCTCCAATTAAAAGACACAGACTGGCAAACTGGATAAAGAGTCAAGACCCATCAGTCTGCTGTATTCTGGAAATCCATCTCATGGGCAGAGACACACATAGGCTCAAAATAAAAGGATGGAGGAAGATCTACCAAGCAAATGGAAAACAAAAAAAGGCAGGGGTTGCAATCCTAGTCTCTGATAAGACAGACTTTAAACCAACAACGATCAAAAGAGGCAAAGAAGGCAATTACATAATGGTAAAGGGATCAATTCAACAAGAAGAGCTAACTATCCTAAATATATATGCACCCAATACAGGAGCACCCAGATTCATAAAGCAAGTCCTGAGTGACCTACAAAGAGACTTAGACTCCCACACAATAATAATGGGAGACTTTAACACCCCACTGGCAACATTAGACAGATCAACGAGACAGAAAGTCAACAAGGATACCCAGGAATTGAACTCAGCTCTGCACCAAGAGAACCTAATAGACATCTACAGAACTCTCCACCCAAAAACAACAGAATATACATTTTTTTTCAGCACCACACCACACCTATTCCAAAATTGACCACATACTTGGAAGCAAAGCTCTCCTCAGCAAAAGTAAAAGAACAGAAATTATAACAAACTATCTCTCAGACCACAGTGCAATCAAACTACAACTCAGGGTTAAGAAACTCACTCAAAACCGCTCAACTACATGGAAACTGAATGACCTGCTCCTGAATGACTACTGGGTACATAACGAAATGAAGGCAGAAATAAAGTTGTTATTTGAAACCAACGAGAACAAAGACACAACATACCAGAATCTCTGGGACACATTCAAAGCAGTGTGTAGAGGGAAATTTCTAGCACTAAATGCCCACAAGAGAAAGCAGGAAAGATCCAAAATTGACACCCTAACATCACAATTAAAAGAACTAGAAAAGCAAGAGCAAACACATTTAAAAGCTAGCAGAAGGCAAGAAATAACTAAAATCAGAGCAGAACTGAAGGAAATAGAGACACACAAAACCCTTCAAAAAATTAATGAATCCAGCAGCTGGTTTTTGAAAGGATCAACAAAATTGATAGACCGCTAGCAAGACTAATAAAGAAGAAAAGAGAGAAGAATCCTATAGATGCAATAAAAAATGATAAAGGGGATATCACCACCTATCCCACAGAAATAGAAACTACCACAAGAGAGTACTACAAACACCTCTACGCAAATAAACTAGAAAATCTAGAAGAAATGGATAAATTCCTCGACACATACACTCTCCCAAGACTAAACCAGGAAGAAGTTGAATCCCTGAATAGACCAATAACAGGCTCTGAAATTGTGGCAATAATCAATAGCTTACCAACGAAAAAGAGTCCAGGACCAGATGGATTCACAGCCGAATTCTACCAGAGGTACAAGGAGGAACTGGTACCATTCCTTCTGAAACTATTCCAATCAACAGAAATAGAGGGAATCCTCCCTAACTCATTTTTTGAGGCCAGCATCATCCTGATACCAAAGCCGGGCAGAGACACAACCAAAAAAGAGAATTTTAGACCCATATCCTTGATGGACATTGATGCAAATATCCTCAATAAAATTCTGGCAAACCGAATCCAGCAGCACATCAAAAAGCTTATCCACCATGATCAAGTGGGCTTCATCCCTGGGATGCAAGGCTGGTTCAACATATGCAAATCAATAAATGTAATCCAGCATATAAACAGAACCAAAGACAAAAACCACATGATTATCTCAATAGATGCAGAAAAGGCCTTTGACAAAATTCAACAACCCTTCATGCTAAAAACTCTCAATAAATTAGGTATTGATGGGACATATCTCAAAATAATAAGAGCTATCTATGACAAATCCACAGCCAATATCATACTGAATGGGCAAAAACTGGAAGCATTCCCTTTGAAAACTGGCACAAGACAGGGATGCCCTCTCTCACCACTCTTACTCAACATAGTGTTGGAAGTTCTGGCCAGGGCAATTAGGCAGGAGAGGGAAATAAAGGGTATTCAATTAGGAAAAGAGGAAGTCAAATTGTCCCTGTTTGCAGATGACATGATTGTATATCTAGAAAACCCCATTGTCTCATCCCAAAATCTCCTTAAGCTGATAAGTAACTTCAGCAAAGTCTCAGGATACAAAATCAATGTACAAAAATCAGAAGCTTTCTTATATACACCAAAAACAGACAAACAGAGAGCCAAATCATGAGTGAACTCCCATTCACAATTGCTTCAAAGAGAATAAAATACCTAGGAATCCAAATTACAAGGGATGTGAAGGACCTCTTCAAAGAGAACTACAAACCACTGCTCAAGGAAATAAAAGAGGATACAAACAAAAGGAAGAACAATCCATGCTCATGGGTAGGAAGAATCAATATCGTGAAAATGGCCATACTGCCCAAGGTAATTTACAGATTCAATTCCATCCCCATCAAGCTACCGATGACTTTCTTCACAGAATTGGAAGAAAACTACTTTAAAGTTCATATGGAACCAAAAAATAGCCCACATCACCAAGTCAATCATTAGCAAAAAGAGCAAAGCTGGAGGCATCATGCTACCTGACTTCAAACTATACTACAAGGCTACAGTAACCAAAACAGCATGGTACTGGTACCAAAACAGAGATATAGATCAATGGAACAGAACAGAGCCCTCAGAAATAATGCCGCATATCTACAACTATCTGATCTTTGACAAACCTGAGAAAAACAAGCAATGCAGAAAGGATTCCCTATTTAATAAATGGTGCTGGGAAAACTGCCTAGCCATAAGGAGAAAGCTGAAACTGGATCCCTTCCTTACACCTTATACAAAAATTAATTCAAGATGGATTAAAGACTTAAATGGTAGACCTAAAACCATAAAAACTCTAGAAGAATACCTAGGTATTACCATTCAGGACATAGGCATGGGCAAGGACTTCATGTCTAAAACACCAAAAGCAATGGCAACAAAAGCCATAATTGACAAATGGGATCTAATTAAACTAAAGAGCTTCTGCACAGCAAAAGAAACTACCATCAGAGTGAACAGGCAACCTACAAAATGGGAGAAAATTTTCGCAACCTACTCATCTGACAAAGGGCTAATATCCAGAATCTACAATGAACTCAAACAAATTTACCAGAAAAAAACAAACAACCCCATCAAAAAGTGAGTGAAGGATATGAACAGACACTTCTCAAAAGAAGACATTTATTCAGCCAAAGAACACATGAAAAAATGCTCACATTCATTGGCCATCAGAAAAATGCAAATCAAAAACGCAGTGAGATACCATCTCACACCTGTTAGAATGGCAATCATTAAAAAGTCAGGAAACAACATTTGCTGGAGAGGATGTGGAGAAATAGGAACACTTTTACACTGTTGGTGGGACTGTAAACTAGTTCAACCATTCTGGAAGTCAGTGTGGCGATTCCTCAGGGATCTAGAACTAGAAGTACCATTTGACCCAGCCATCCCATTACTGGGTATGTACCCAAAGGGTTATAAATCATGCTGCTATAAAGACACATGCACATGTATGTTTATTGCGGCACTATTCACAATAGCAAAGACTGGGAACCAACCCAAATGTCCAACAATGATAGACTGGATTAAGAAAATGTGGCACATATACACCATGTAATACTATGCAGCCACAAAAAATGATGAGTTCATGTCCTTTGTAGGGACATGCATCAAATTGGAAATTATCATTTTCAGTAAACTATTACAAGGACAAAAAACCAAACACTGCATGTTCTCACTCATAGGTGGGAATTGAACAATGGGAACACATGGACACAGGAAGGGGAACATCACTCTCTGGGGACTGTTGTGGGGTGGGTGGAGGGGGGAGGGATAGCATTACGAGATATATCTAATGCTAAATGACAAGTTAATGGGTGCAGCACACCAACATGACACATGTATACATATGTAACTAACCTGCACATTGTACACATTTACCCTAAATCTTAATGTATAATAATAATAAAATAAAAAAAGAAAAAAAAATCTCAAGAAACTAAGCATCAAAGGAACATACTTCAACCAACAAGAGCCGTCTATGGCAAACACATAGCTGAAAATGCAGAAAGCATTCATCTTGATAACTAGAACAAGACAAAGATGTCCACTCTCATCACTCCTGTTTAACAAAGTACTGGAAGTCCTAACCACAGCAACCAGGCAAGAGAAAGAAATAAAAGTCATCTAAATAGAAAGAAAGGAAGTCAAACTATTTCTCTTTGCTGACAATATGATTCTATATATACCCTATAGGCTCTGCCCAAAGGCTCCTGGATCTGATAAACCACTTTAGCAAAGTTTCAGAATACAAAATCAGGGAATAAAACTTAGGAGCATTTCTTTAAACCATCAACATTCAAGCAGAGAGCCAAATCAAGAATGCAATCCCACTCCCTATAGCCAGACAAAGAAATAAAAAGACCTGGGAATAAAACAACCACCAGAGGTGGAAGATCTCTACAAAATTAATTACAAAATACTCCTGAAAGAAATGAAAGACAAAACAAACAAATGAAAAAACATTCTATGCTCATGAATATAAAGAATCAATATTGTTACAATCACCATTCTACACAAAGCAATTTACAGCTTCAATGCCATTTCTGTAAACCTACCAAAGACATTTTTCACAGAATTAGAAAACAATCCCTTCTAAAATTCATATGGAACCAAAAAATAACCTGAATAGTGAAGGCAATTCTAAGAAAATAATAATGTTGGAGGCATCGTATTACTTGACTTCAAACTATGCCACCAGGTTACAGTAATCAAAAGAGTATGCTGGTATAAAAGCAGACACATAGATCAATGGAACAGGTTAGAGAACCCAGAAATAAAGCTTTACACCTAAACCGTCTCGTTTTTAACAAAGTCAACAAAATCAAGCAATAGAGAAATAACTTTTTATTCAGTAAATGTTACTGAGATAGCTGGCTAGCCATGTGCAGAAGATTAAAACCACACCCCTTCTTTTCACCATATACAAAAATCAATTCAGGATAGAGTGAGGACTCAAATGTAAAACATAAAACTTTAAAAACCCTAGAAGAAAACCTAGGAAATACCATACTGGACATTAGTCTTGGCAATGATTTCATGATGAAGGCATTAAAAGTAATTGCAACAAAAACAAAAACAAAATTACAGGTGGGATCTAATTAAAGTAAAGAGATTCTGCATAGAAAAAAAAACCCACTATCAGCAGAGTAAACAGGCAACCCACAGAATGAAAGAAAATATTTTCAAGCTATGCATCTGGCAAAACCCTGTATCCAGAATCTGTAAGGAACTTAAACAAATCAATGAGAAAAAAAGGAAACAAACTTATAAACAATCTGGCAAGGAACATGAACAGACACTTCTCAAAAGAAGGCATACACGTAGCCAACAAGCATATGAAAAAATGCTTAACATCACTAATCTTTAGGAAAATGCCAATCAAACCACAATGAGATACCATCTCACAACAGTCAGAATAGCTATTATTAGAAAGTCAAAAAAATAACAGATTCTGGCAAGGTTGCAGAGAAAATGGAATACTTACACACTGCTGGTCAGAATATAAATTTGTTCAGTCACTCTGGAGAGCAGTTTGGAGATTCCTCAAACAACTTAACATGCAACTAACATTCGACCAAGCAATCCCATTACTGGGTATATATCGAGAGAAATATAAATCATTCTACCATGAAGACACATACACACATATTTTCACTGCAGCACTACTAACAATAGCAAAAAGACAGAATCAACCTAGATGCCTATCAATGGGATACTATATGATAAAAATAATATGCACAAACACCATGAAATACTACACAGCCATCAAAATAATAAAACCTTATTTATTGTAGCAACATGGATGCAGCTGGAGGTCATTATCCTAAGCAAATGAGCACAAGAAGAGAAGACCAAATACCACATGTTCTCATGTATAAGGGAGAGCTAAACATTAAATACACATTGACACAAGAAATAAAACAATAGACACTAAGATTTACTTGAGGGTAGATGGTAGGAGGGAAGTGAGGTTCAAAAAACTACCCATCCGGTACTATACTCACTACCTGGGTGACAAATCATTTGTATGTCAATTCCCAGTGGCATACAATTTACCCATGAAACAAATCTGCACATATAACTTCTGTACCTAAAATAAAATTAAAAGAAAATAATGATTTTTCTCAGATAAGCAGAAACTTAGACAATCTACTACCCCTAGACAAGCCCTAAATGTAATGCTTACAGAAATCCTACATATGAAAGTGAAAGAATGAATGTATGATATCTACCATCATGAAAATATGAGGATGTAGAAAACTTACTGGTAGAGCATACACACAAATGACAAATAGGAATGACTCAAGTGTTACCACTACAGCAAACCACCAAACTGCAAATGATAAACAATGAAACAAGAAGAAAAGAAAAAAAAATATACAAAACTCCAAAAAAATTCAACAAAATTATAAGAATAAGTCCTCACCTATTAACAATAACCTTGAATGTGAATAAATTAAATTCCTCACTTAAAAGATATAGACTGGTTAAGTGGCTTTAAAAAATACCATCCAACTATATGCTGCCTACAGTAAACTCACTGATATCATTTGGACATTTATCTCTTCAAAATTTCATGTTGAAATTTAATCTTCAGTGTTGGAGGTGCGGCCTAGTGGAAGGTTTTTGGGTCATGGAAATGGATGGTTTCCTGACCTTTAATGGTTTGCTGACCTCATGGTAATGTGTAAGTTCTCTATTAGTTTCTGTAAGACCCAGTTGTTTAAAATAACATGGCACCTTTCTCCCATTGCTTTTGCTTTCTCTTGCCATACTATTTGTGCACACACCTGCTCTCATTCACTTCCACCATGAGTGGAAGCAGTCTAAGGCTCTCTTCAGATGAAGGTGCCAGTGCCATGTTTCTCATACAGCAGGCAGAACCATGAGCCAAATAAACCTCTTTTCTTTATAAATTACCTGGCCTCAAGTATACCTTGAGAGCAATACAAACTTATTCCCCTTGACTCTAAAGATACCTATAGACTGAAATTGATGGGATTTTAAAAAAAGATATTCCACTCAAACAGAGAGGCTTCAAGATGACTGATTAGAGGCATCTGGTACTTGCCTTCTTTTCCAAAAATAAAGGAAAATGGCAAGTAGAAAATCACCCTTCAATGTGGAATTTAACAGAGAAGTGCCAGAAAATATCTACGGAAGAAAGGAGAGGAAAAGAAGGCACCCTGCTCAGCAAAAACTAGCTGAGAGTTTGGAGTGGCTCAGCAACACAGGGAAAGGGTAAATGAGTGACTCCCAGTGATCCACACTCCCACCATGAATTTCAGCAATTCTTGTCACAACATATGAAGGCACTGAGACTAACATAGGGAGCTACCTAGAGATGGCAAGGTGACATTAATCCAGACAGAAAGCTCACACTAAGTTCCATACACCCTCAGAGTCTTAAGCAGCTAAAAAAACATGCCTTTTTGTGAACCCAGGTCCCACCAGATTGTCTGCTACCCCGGAGACCAACAGCCCCTGGATCTCAACATACTTAGAGCTGCATTTATATACCCCACTTACAGCTGAGCACTGCTGCTTGCTGCTCCTGCAACAGCCAACTTGTGATTAATTAGCAGTGACCTTGTTGCTCTTAATATCAGGGCTAGAGCATACGTAAAAGCACTTGAAGGAGAGGCTACCCTTATTGCAGTCACCATTTGGGGCTGAAGTGTGTGCTCCTTAGCTCATGGAAATGACTGCTACCACTGAAAGCAACTCTTTCCTGCTGCACAGTAGGATCACAGAGCAGCCACTGCTGCCACCACCTAAGCAATCCAATGGGGTTGGGGTGACCCCACTTCTGCCTAACACATTTAAGCCTTGGAGACAGGCCTGACTGCCCCAGCTCCACCCCACCCAGTACATAACAATCTGCCACTATCACTACAGATGGCACTCACCTTCATGAACCACAAATAATTATGGGTACTGACCTGCCCAGCTTGTCACAGCCACCACCAACACAAGTGCAGACCACTCTGGAGCCAGAAAATTGTCCCAACACTGCTATTGCCATTACCCATGCAACACATAGTACCCAGGTACCCAAGAACCAACCCACTTATCTGCCCATCGTTGCTAATGCTAACACCAAAGCAAGCCATCTAGAGGACAAAAAATCAATAAGCCTAGACCTGCTAATACTAATGCCAGTGTATGTTGTTGTTGGTTTGAAAGGCATGCTATCTCCTTTCCAAGCAAAATTTAACTACAACTTCCAAGAACTACTGCACCCTAAAGAATGGAGGGAATCACAGAAATCACTGACACTTTACAGCTGAAGAAATATACGAAGACTACACTACTGCATGCACCAAAAATCATAGCCAAATAGCCATGCCCAACCAGCACCATACATACATTTTCAAAAAAATCCTCCTCTACAAAAATAAATTTCAAAAACGGAAGAAATGGCAGTTACATCAGATACTCAAATATCAACATAATGACAAAAGAAACATGAAAAAGCAAGGGAAATGACACCTCCAAAGGACATAATAATTTTACTGAAACAGATTCCAATGAAAAATTATCAAATCCCAGAAAAAAGAATTGAAAATTATGATATTAAAGAAGATCAGGGAGATATAAGAGAACTTGGATAAACAATATAGAGAAATCCAAAAACTAATTCAGGATATAAATGAAAAATTTACCAAAAAGGTAAATATCATACAAAAAGAGCCAAGCAAAAATTTGGAACTAAAAAATCATTGAAAAAATATAACATCTACTCTGAAGCTTCAATAGTAGACTAGATCAAGCAGAAGTAAGAATTTCAAAATGTAAAGAAAGGCCTTATGAAATACTCAGAAAATGAAAGAAAAAATATAAAAGAATGTGCAAAGTATATGTGAAACATAAGACACCACAAAGTTACAAAATTCTTAAATTTGTGGTGTACCAAAAAGTGGAGAAGAAATGAAATGGATAGAAAACCTACTCAATAAAATAATGACTGAAAACATTCCAAGTGTAGACATCCATATACAGGAAGCTCAGAAATCCCCAAATACATGGAAGCCAAAAAGGTTTTCTTTATGGCACACCACCAAGACAAACACAAGAAGAAAATTCTAAAAACAGCCAAGAGAAAACTGTCTAGTCACTTATAAGGGTGCCCTCATAAGACTAACAGCAGATTTCTCAGCAGAAACCTTATAGACCAGGATGGAATGGGATGATATATTCGAAGTACTGAAAGAAAGAAAAAAAACTATCAGCCAAATAAACCACACCCAGCAAAGTTATCCTTCATAAATAAAAAGGAATAAAGTATTTCCAAGACAAGAAAATCTGAGGAATTCATCACAAGACCAGTTCTACAAGAAAAGTTCAAGGAAGTCCTACACCTGGAAATGAAAAGATAACATATGTCACTGTATCAGTCCATTCTGGCACTGCTATAAAGAACTACTTGAGACTGGGTAACTTATGAAGAAAAGAGGTTTAATTGACTCACAGTTTTGCAGGCTTAAGAAGAAGCATAAATAGGAGGCCTCAGGAAACTTACAATTATAGTGGAAGATGAAGGGGAAGCGAACATGTCTTACATGGCAGAGAAGGAGAAAGAGAGAGTGAGAGGGGATGTGGGATGTGCCACACTGTTAACCCATCAGATTTTGTGTGAACTCAGTCACTATCATAAGAACAGCATGGTGAAATCCATCCCCATGATTCAATCACCACCTATAAGGTGCCTTGCCTGACACATGGGGATTACAATTCAACATGAGATTTGGGTGGGGACACAGAGCCAAACTGTATCAGCCATAATTAAAATACACAGAAGTACAAAACTGGTAGAGCAAACACTGGTAGACCAAACACTCAAATAAGAAAGGAAAATGACTCACGTGTTACCACTAGAGAAAACCAACAAATCAGTTATTCACAATAAGAGAGAAAGAAAGAAACAAAGGTTATACAAAACAACCAGATATGAATTAGTAAAATGATAAGAATAAACCCTCCCATATCAATAATAACCTTGAATGTAAACAGATTAAACTTTCAACCTAAAAGTTATAGACCAGATTAATATAATTTTTTTTAAAAAATGGACAAACTATATGCTACCTTCAAGAAATGAATATCACTTGTAAAGACAAATAGAGACTGAAAAAGAATGGATGAAAAAAAATTTCATGCAATCAGAAACCAAAATTGAGAAGTAGCTGTACTTTTACCAGACAAAACAGACTTTAAATCAAAAACAATGAAAAGAAACAAAAAAGTCATTACATTCTTATAAAGAGATCAATTCAGCAAAGGATAAAATAATCTAACATATATGCACTGAACACCAAAGCCTCCAGATATATAAGGCAAATACTATTATATACATATAAAGAAGAGATAAACTCCAATAAAAGTTGGGACTCTAACACCCCACTCTCAGGATCTGACATATCTTCCAGATAGAAAAGTAACAAAGAAACATTGGATTAATATTGCACTATACACAAAATGGTCCTAACAGAAACATACAGAACATTTCATCCAACAACTAGAGAATACACATTCCTCTATTCAGTACATGGAGCATTCCCCAGGAGAGACACAAAACATATGTCAGGACACAGAACAAGTCTCAACAATTTCTTTTTGAATTCTAAATAATATCAACTATCTTCTCAGACCACAATGGAATAAAACTATAAATCAATAACAAGAGGAACATTAAAAACTGCACAAAAACATGGAAATTAAACAACATGCCTTTGAGGGAGGGGCCAAGGTGGTTGATTAGAAACAGCTGCAGTTGGAGGCTCCCACTGAGAAGAATGAAAATGGGGAGTGAAACATGCACTGCAAACTGAGGTATCCATGTTCTCTCATTAGGACTGACTAGGCTGTTGGTGCAACCCACGAAGAGCAAGGAAAAGCAGGGTGATGTGACAGCCCACCTTGGAGCCACATGGGGCAAAGGAGCTCCCACCCACAGCCAAGGGAGGCAGTGAGTGATCCTACTACCCTGCCTGGGAAACCACAGTTGTTCCATGAATCTGTACAACCCACAGATCAGAAGATCCCCCTTGTGAGCCCACATTACATGGGCCTTAGGTGTCAACCACAAAGCTGTGCAGATTCTCAGTGGCCACTTGGCTGAAGACTGCCTAAGACTACCGAGTTCCCAGGGGAACCTATTACCGATTGGGGTACCTGAAAAAGATGAAAAGAATGGTACAAAGTTGGAAAACATACTTCAGGATATCATCCAGGAGAACTTCCCTACCAAACAAGACAAGCCAACATTCAAATTCAGGAAATCTAGAGAACCCCAGTAAGATATTCCATGAGAAGATCAACCCCAAGACATATAATCATTAAATTCTCCAATGTCAAAATGAAGGAGACAATGTTAGTGGAAGCCAGAAAGAAAGGCCAGGTCACCTTCAAAGGGAAACCCATCAGACTTACAGCAGACCTCTCAGCAGAAACCCTACAAGCCAGAAGAGATTAGGGGCCAATATTCAACATTCTGAAAAAAAAAGGGATTTGCAACACAGAATTTCATATCCAGTCAAACTAAGCTTCATAAATGAAAAAGAAATAAAATCCTTCTCAGTAAAATAAATGCTGAAGAAATTCATAGCCACCAGGCTAGCCTTGCAATAGCTCCAAAAGGAAGCAAAAAACATGGAAAAGAAAAACTGTTACCAGCCATTGCAAAAACACACAGAAGTGCAAAGAACAATGACACTATGAAGCAACTACATCAACAAGTCTGCAAAATAATCAGCTAGCATCATGATGACTGGATCAAATTCACACATAACAATAATAACCTTAAATGTAAATGGGCTAAAAGTCCCAATTAAAAGACAGAATGTCAAGCTGGATAGAGTCAAGACCCATCAGTGTGCTGTATTCAAGAGATACATCTTACAGGCAAACACACATAGGTTGAAAATAAAGGGATGGGAGAAAATTTACAAAAAAAAATGGAAAGCAGAAAAAAAGCAGAGGTGGCAATCCTAGTTTTTGGCAAAACAGATTTTATATCAACAAAAATAAAGAAAAGAAGGGCATTACGTAATGGTAAAGGGATTAATTCAACAAGAGAGCTAACTCCTAAGTATAAAATATGCACCTAATACAGGAGCACTCAGATTTATAAAACAAGTTCTTAGAGACCTACAAAGAGACTTAGACTCCAAAACAATAATACTGGGAGACTTTAATGCCCCACTGTCAATATTAGACAGATAATTGAGTGAGAAAATTAACAAGAATATTCAGGGCTTGAACTTAGCTCTGGATCAAGTGGACCTCATGGACATCTACAGAACTCTCCATCCAAAAACAACAGAATATACATTCTTCTTGGTGTAACATGGCACTTACTCTAAAATCGATCACATATTTGGAAGTAAAAAAGTCTTCAGCAAATGCAAAAGAACAGAAATCATAACAATCTCTCAGACCACAGTGCAATCAAATTAGAACTCAGGATTAAGAAACTCACTCGAAACCACATAATTACATGAAAATTGAACAAACTGCTCCCAAATGACTCCTAGGTAAATAACGAAAGTAAGGCAGAAAACAAGAAGTTCTTTGAAACCAATGAGAACAAAGAGACAATGTAGCAGAATCTCTGGGATGCAGCTAAAGCTGTGTTAAGAGGTAAATTTATAGCACTACATCCCCACATCAAAAAGCTAGAAGATCTCAAATCCACACCATAACATCACAACTAAAAGAACTAGAGAATCAAGATCAAACAAATCCAAAAGCTAGCAGAAGACAAGAAACAATCAAGATCAGAGTGGAACTGAAAAAGACAGAAACATGAAAAATGCTTCGAAACATCAATGAATCCAGGAGCTGGATTTTTGAAAAAATTAATATAATAGATAGACTGGTAGCTTGACTGATAAAGAAGAAAAGAGAGAAGAATCAAATAGACACAATACAGACGCCACAGAAATACAAACAACCATGAGAGAATACTATAAATACCTCTATGAAAATAAACTAGGAAATCTAGAAAAATGATTAAACTCCTGGACACACACACCCTCCCAAGACTGAACCAGGAAAAAGTTGAATCCTTGAATAGATCAATAGCAAGTCCTGAAATTGAGGCAGTAATAAATAGCCTACCAAAAAAAAAAAAAAAAAAAAAAAAAAGCCCAGGACCAGATTGATTTACAGCTGAATTCTACAAGAGGTACAAAAAGGATCTGGTACCATTCCTTCTAAAACTATTCCAAACCATTGAAAAGGAGGTACTTCTTCCTGACTCATTTTATGAGGCCAAAATCATCCTAATACCAAAACCTGGCAGAGATACAACAGAAAAAGAAAACTTCAGGTCAATATCCCTGATGAATATTATTGCAAATATCCTTAATAAAATACTGACAAACTGAATCCAGCAGCACATTAAAAAGTTTATCCATTATGATCAAGTGAGCTTCACTCCTGGAATGCGAGGCTGGTTCAACATACACAAATCAATAATTTATCACATAAAGAGAACTAAAGAGAAAAACCACATGATTATCCCAATAGACACAGAAAACGTCTTCAATAAAATTCAACACCCCTTAATGTTAAAAACTCTCAAAAAACTAGGCACTGATGGGACATACCTCAAAATAATAAGAGTCATTTATGACAAACCCATAGTCAATATCATACTGAATGAACAAAAGCTGGACATATTCCCTTTGAAAATTGGCAGAAGATAAGGATGCCCTCTCTCACCACTCCTATTCAATATAGTATTGAAAGTTCTGGCCATGGCAATCAGACAAGAGGAAAATATAAAGGATATTCAAATAGGAAGAGAGGAAGTCAAACTGTCTCTGTTTGCAAATGACATAATTCTATGTCTAGAAAACCCCATTGCATCTCAGCCCCAAAGCTCCTTAAGCTGATAAGCAACTTCAGCAAAGTATCAAGATATAAAATCAATGTGCAAAAATCACAAGCATTCTTATACACCAACAATAGACAAGCAGAGAGCCAAATCATGAATGAACTCCCATGAATAATTGCTACAAAAAGCATAAAGTACCTCAAAATACAGTTAACAAGGGAAGTGAAAGACCTCTTCAAGGAGAACTACAAACCACTGTTCAAGTAAATAAGAGGACACAAACAAATGACAAAACATTCCATGCTCATGGATAGGAAGAATCAATATTGCAAAAATGGCTATACTACCCAAAGTAATTTACAGATTCAATGCTATTCCCATTAAACTGCCACTGACATTCTTCACAGAATTAGACAAAACTACTTTAAAATTCATATGGAAGGCAGGCAGATCACAGGGTCAAGAGATCAAGACCATCCTGGCCAACATGGCGAAACCCCATCTCTACTAAAAATACAAAAATTAGCTAGGTGTGGTGGCACGTGCCTGTAGTCCTAGCTACTCAGAAGGTTGAGGAAGGAGAATCACTTGAACTCGGGAGGCTGAGGTTGCAGTGAGCCAAGATGGCGCCACTGCACTCCAGCCTGGTGACAGAGTGAGACTCTGTCAAAAAAAAAAAAAAAAAAGAAAGAAAGATTGATTCATATGGAACCAAACAAGAGCCCATATAGCCAAGACAATTCTAAGCAAAAAGAACAAAGCTGGAGGCATTGTGCTACCTGATGACAAACTATACTACAAGGCTATAGTAACCAAAACAGCATGGTAATTACACAAAAACAGACACATAGACCAATGGAACAGAATAGAGATCTCAGAAATATGACCACACATCTACAAGCAGTTGATCTTTGACAAACCTGACAAAAAGAAGCAATGGGGAATGGATTCCCTATTTAATAAATGGTGCTGGGAAAACTGGCTAGCCATATGCAGAAAATTGAAACAGGACCCCTTTTTTACACCTTATACAAAAATTAACTCAAGATGGATTAAAGACTTAAATGTAAGGCTCAAAACTATGAAAATCCTAGAAGAAAATCTAGGTAATCCCATTCAGGACTTAGGCACAGGCAAAGATTTTATGACAAAAATGTGAAAAGCAATTTTAACTAAAGCAAAAATTGACAAATGAGATTTAATTAAAAGAAGGAGCTTCTGTACAGCAAAAGAAACTATCAACAGAGTGAACAGACAACACACAGAATGGAAGAAAATTTCTCCAATATATCCATCTGACAAAGGTCTAATAGCCAGAATCTACATGGAACTTAAACAAATTTACGACAACAACAACAACAACAACAACAAAAACACACATTAAAACATGGGCAAAGGACATGAACAGACACTTTTCAAAAGAAATTTATGTGGCCAACAAATACATGATAAAAAGGTCAACATCACTATTCATTAGAGAAATGCAAATCAAAACCACAATGAGATACCACCTCACACCAGTCAGAATGGTGATTATCAAAAGGTCAAGAATCAACAGATGCTGGCAGGGCTGTGGAGAAATAGGAACACTTTTACACTGTTGGTGGGAATGTAAATTAGTTCAACCATTGTGGAAGACAGTATGGTGATTCCTCAAAGACCTAGAACCATAAATACCATTTGACCCAGAAATTTCACTACTGGGTAAATAACCAAAAGAATATAAATCGTTTTATTATAAAGATGCATGCACGCATATGTTCATTGCAGCAGTATTCACAATAGCAAAGACATGGAGTCAACCCAAATGCCCATCAATAATAGACTGGATAAAGAAAATGTGGTACATATACACCATGGAATACTATGCTGCCATACAAAGGAACTAGATCACATCCTTTGCAGAGACATGGATAAAGTTGGAAGCCATTATCCTCAGCAAACTAATGCAGAACAGAAAACCAAACACCACATGTTCTCACTTCTACATGGGAGCTGAACAGCCAGGCGCAGTGGCTCACGCCTGTAATCCCAGCACTTGGGAGGCTGAGGCGGGTGGATCATGAGGTCAGGAGATCGAGACCATCTTGGCTAACACCGTGAAACCTTGTCTCTACTAAAAATACAAAAAAATTAGCCAGGCGTGGTAGCGGACACCTGTAGTCCCAGCTACTCAGGAGACTGAGGCATGAGAATGGCATAAACCCAGAAGGCGGAGTTTGCAGTGAGCCGAGATTGTGCCACTGCACTCCAGCCTGGGCAACAGAGCGAGACTCCGTCTTAAAATAATAATAATAATAATAATAATAATAATAATAATAATAATAAATAAATGGGAGCTGAACAATAAGAACACATAGATACAGGGAGAGGAACAACACACACTGTGGCCTGTCAGGGGGATGGAGAGAGAGGATAAACAGCTAATGCATGCAGGGCTTAATACCTAGGTGATGGGTTGATAGGTGCAGCAAACCACCATGGCAAATGTCTACCTATGTAACAATCCTACATGACCTGCATGAGTATCCTGGAACCTAAAATTAAATTAAATTAAATTTTTAAAGACATGCTTCTGAGTGACCATTGGGTCAAGAAATAAACTAATAAAGACATGAAAAAAATATTGAAACAGATGAATGCAAATCTAAGTACAGCATATGAAAACTTATGGGATACAGCAAAAACAGTGCTAAGAGGGAATTTTACACCAAACATACTTACATTAAAATAAAATAGTGGGAGTGTTCAAATAAACAATCTAGTGATGTACTTATGCAAACTAGAAAGCAAGAAAAAATAAATCCTAAAATTAGCAGAAGAAATAACAAAGATCAGAGCAGAATAAAACAAAATAGAGGCCCCCCAAAAAATGAAGATGCATCAATGAAACAAAAAATTGGTGTTTGAGGAGATAAACAAAGTAAGTACACTGTTAGCTAGAATAACCAAGGGAAAAAAAAGACAAGACCAAAATATATAAAATGAGAAACAAAAATGGAGACATTGCAACTGATACCACTGAAATACAAATGAATGTCAGAGATTATTATGAGCAATTATACAATTAAAAATTAGAAAACTTAAAAGAAATAGATGAATTCCCGAAAACATACACCTACCAAGACTGGATCAGAAAGAAAAAGAAAACCTGAACAAACAAATAAAGAGTAATAATATTGATTCAGTAATAAAAAGTCTCCCAACAAAGAGAATCCCAGGACTGGATGGGTTCACTGCAGAATTCTACCAAACACACAGAAAAGAACTAATGCCAATTCTCCTCAAACCGTTTCAAAAAAATTAAGAGGGAATTCTCCACAACTCATTTTACAATTACCTTGATATAAAACCAGGCTAGGATGCAACAAAAAAAGAAAACTATAGGCAAATTTCCATGATGAACAAAGATGCAGAAATCGTCAACAAAATACTACCAAATCAAATCTAATAACATATCTAAAAGATAATACACCATGATCAAGTGGAATGTATTCCAGGGATGCAAGTATAGTTCAACATATGCAAATTCAATAAAAATGATACATCAAATCAATAGAATGAAAGACAAAAATTATGTGATCATCTCAACAGATTTAGAAAAAGCATTTGAAATAATTCAACACTCCTTCATAACAAAAGCTCTCCACAAACTAGGCATAGAAGGAACATATCTCAACATAATATAGGTTATATATAATAAAACCACAGCTAACAATATATTCAATGAGGAAAAGCTCAAAGACTTTCTTCTAAGAACTAGAACAAGACAAGGATGCCCACTTTCACCACTCCTATTCAACATAGTACTGGAAGTCCTCGCCAGCACATTTAGGCAACAGATAGAAATAAAAGGCACAAATTGGAAATTGGGGAGTCAAATTGTTCCTGTTTCCAGAGGACATTATCATACATCTAAAAACCCTGAACCCTCTAACAACAACAAAAACAACAACAAAAACTCTTAGATCTGATAAATAAATTTAATTAAGTAATAGAACATAAAGTCAATATAAAAAATCAGTAGTGTTTCTATACACCAATAATGAACTTGCTGAAAAAATCAGAAGTAAGTCCCATTTGCAATAACTACAAAAAATACTTATAAATATGTATAACCAAGCATGTGAAAGACCTCCCCAAGAAAAACTATAAAAACCTACTGAAAGAAGTTGAAGAGGTCAAAAACAAATGAAAAGATACCCCAAACTCATGGACTGGAAGAATTACCATCATTAAAGTCACCATGCTACCCAAAGAAATCCATAGATTAAATGTAATCCTTATAAAAATGCCAGTCATTTTTCAGAAAAATAGAAAAAGAAATTCTAGAATTTGTATGGAACCAAGACAAAGCCCAAATAGCCAAAGCAATTCTCAGCAAAAAGAACAAAGTTGTAGACATCACATTATCTGACAACAAAATATATTAATTACTAATCTATAGTAACCAAAACAGCATCATACTGGCATAAAAACAGATATATTGATCAATGGAACAGAGTAGAGGGCCTAGATACAAATCTATGCATTTACAACCAACTTATTTTTGACAGAGGTGTCTCTCATTTAAAAAGGGGGAGTCTCTTGAATAAATGTTGCTTGCAGTACTGGATGGATATCCATATGCAGAAGAAAAGAATTAAACTTGATCCGTATATCTCCCTACATAAAACATCAATTAAAAAATAAAAATATAAATATTAAGTCCTGAATCTATAAAACTAGTAGAAAAATACATTGGACAAATGCTTCAGGACATTGGTCTTGGCAAAGAGTTTTTGTCAAAAGAACAGTCAACTAGATTAAAAAAAATAGACACATGGGACTACATCAAGGTAAAAAACATTTTGTATAGCAAATGAAACAATTAAAGTGAAAAGACAACATACCAAATCAGAAAAAAATTTTGCAAACTTTCCATCTGACAAGGTATTAATAAGCAAAATCTATAAGAAATTCAAACAACTCAGTTGGAAAAAATATATAATTTAATAAAAAATAGGTAAAATATCTAAATAATCATTTCTCTAAAGAAGACATACAAATGGCCAACCGGTACATATAAAAATGTTCAACATCACTAATCACCAGGGAAATGCAAATCAAAACCACAATGATATACCATGTCACCCCAGTTAAAGTGGCTATCATTAAAAAGACAAAAAATAATGAATGCTGTCTAACATAAAGAGAAAAGGGAACAGGTATACACTGTTGATGGAAATACAAATGAATACAGCCATTATGGCAAACAGTATGGAGTTTCATCCAAAAACTTAAAATATACCTACCATATAACCTGCAATTCCACTACTGGGTATTTATCCAAAGGCAAGAAAATCAGTATATCAAAGGTATACCTATACCCACATGTTTAATGAAGCTCTGTTCATAATAGCTAAGATATGGAATCAACCTAAATGTCTATCAACAGTTGAATGTATTTAGAAAATGTGCCTTATATGCACAATGGAATACTATTCAGCCATAAAAAGAATATCATTTAGGACACCATGGATGAGCTTGGAGGACATTATCTTACGTAAAATAGGTAAGGCAGAGAAAAAGAAATACCACATGTTCTTACACAAAGATAGGAGCTAAAAATTTTTTGAGCTAATTAAAGTAGAAAGTAAAATTGTAGATGTTAGAAGCTGAGAAGTATAGGTAGGAGGGAAGATGGAGAGAGGCAAGTTAACAGATAAAAATTAATGCTACATAGGAGAAATGAGTTGTGGTGTTCCACAGCACTGTAGGATAAACATGGTTAACTATAATTTATTGTATATTTTCAAAAAGCTGAAAAAGAGGATTTTGAATGTTTACAATACAGGAAAATGATAAACATTTGAGGTGATGAATATGTTAATTATTCTGATTTGATCATTATATATTATATATGTATCAAAATATCACTTTTTCCATAAATATGTACAAATATTACATATAAACTAAAAATGAATTTTTTAAAAAGAAGTAAGAAGTGATCCCTTTTAGGAGGTGATTAGGTCATGAGGACTTCTTTCTCATGAATGAGATTAAGGCCTTTATAGAGCTGGTTTCACAAAATGTATGTCTTTTTTGCCCAACACTTTCATCATGTGAGAACACAGCATTCTTTCCCTCTGAAGGATGTGGCAATAAGGTGTCATGTTGGAGGTAGGGACTGGGCCCTTTCTGAAAACCAGACCTGTCAGTGCCCTGATTTTGGACTCTCAGCCTCCAGAAGTAAGAGAAATAAATTACTGTTCTTTATAAATTACTCAGTTTGTGGTACTTTGTTATAGCAACACAAATGGAACAAGACAAGGAATAAACTACACAAATAAGAAAATAATTAACACGTTGATTCTCAAATTTATGAAATGGCAAAGGATCTGAAACAGCCAATATAATTCTTAAAATAAGACCAAATTTGGAGACAGGTATCTGGTTTCAAAACTTACTAGAAAACTATGGTCATTAAGACAGCATGGTGTTAGCATTAAGACAGATAAATAGAGCAATGGAATACAATAGAGTCTATTTCTAGACTCACATATAATCACTTAATTTTCCACAGAAGTGACAAGGTAATTCAGTGTGGAAAGCAGGGACTTTTCAAGGTGCTGGAAAAACCAGATATCCATATACAGAAATATTAACCTCAATTCCTACCTTATATCACAAAGAATAGTTGATTCAAGATGAACAATCAACTTAAACATAAAAGCTAAGACTAACATGTTTCTAAAGAAAAACATAGAATATTTTTACAACTTAAGCAAAGATTTGTTTTAAGCAAATTACACAAAAGCACTAAACATAAACAAAAAAGATAAGTGATACTTCATCAAAATTAAAACTATCTGCTCATCAAAAAATACATTACCTAACTGGTAACGCAAATTACAGACTTGGAGATAATACTTGCAATTCACATATAGAACAAAGGACTCAACCAGAATATGTAAAAAAATAAAACCCTTCTATAATTAGACTATAAAAATAAAAACAAACTGATTAAAATGAGCTAAACACTTGAATAGATACTTCACAGAAGAAAATATATGAGTGCAAGTTTTTATATTCTACATCTCTCACTTATTCTTGCTGAACCTGCTCTTAGCCCTCCTGAATGCTACCAATCCCTTGATCATTTATTTCTTCCTGAATCCATTAATCTCTTGATTCCTTACTCAAACACAAACGCAACCCCCCAAAAAATATGTAAATGGATAATTAGCATGTGAGACGATCCTCAACATCAAGAGTCATCAGGAAAAAGCAAATACAGTCACAATTGTATACTACTTCACATATTCAAGAATGACTAAAATTAAAAACATTGACAACACAAAATATTGGTAAGGATATGGAGAACCTAGAACCCTTATAATACGGCTCATGAGAGTGAAAAATGCTACAATCACTTTGGAAAACAATTTACCAGTTTCATTTATATACCTTTTGTCCCATCAATGGCCACCTCTTAAAATAAGGAAATATGTTCAATCATATAAGAACAGAATTGTAAAGTAAAACTGCACTGAGATCTTATCTGCCATAAAATTATAACACATTTATTCCACAAAACAATGGGAAAATAGTTACTTTCATATAAATCTGGTGGAACGTGTAAAATGATACACCTATGGGGGAGAATTTGGTACTATAAATCAAAATTTCAAATGTGTGTGTCTGTTTCTGGGAATTTATCCCACTGATCACGCACATAAGACACATATCAAAAAACGTATGTTCAAAGTTATTTTCTTCAGGATTGCTTGTAATAGCCAAAGACTGAAAACAAGTCAGTGTCCATCCATGGTGGATGGGTAAAATTAGCCATAATTCACCCACACAATAGACTATAGTCCTGATATTAAGAAATGATAAGGAAGGTCCCTATGGACTGCAATGACTCCAAGGACATCGTGAGTGAAAAATAAAAACTACAGAGCAATTTATACATTATGTTATCTTTTGTGTAAAATGGGAGTAAGTTTACTTGTATTGGCATTTAAAAAATATTGAAATGACATAAACACACACACAAAAAACTACTTTTAATGTCTCATGTTGGGTGCGAAGGTGCTAAAACATGACAGATGAGAACAGAAATGGGAAGGAAGAACTCTATGTATTCATTTGTATAAAGTGTTGATTTTTGGACTATGTGACTCCATTAACTATTCAAACATTAAATTGAGGAAAAAGAAAAAAAAAGGGATTAAAGACCCGAACATTAGCTTTGGCTAGAAAAATTCCATATCTATGAAAAATAGGAGAAGGAAACTAGATTGATTAAAAGGAATAGTCAATAGTAAAATAATAAAAGTGTATGTACAGATACTTCATTCAACGATGTTTGGCAATTAACAGATGAGAAATAGTGAAAAGGTAATTAATAAGGGTGATAAAATGAAGCACAATCTTTGAAACATAGGTAAGTACTTGCTTACATGAAAGCATGTTAGAAAAAAAGAAATAAGAAAAAATATATAGAATCTGAATGAAGTCAAGAGATAAATGTAGGAGGATGGTCTCTTATGGCTCAAGAGGAGGTGAGGAAAAGTATACAGATTAAAGAGAAGTACAAGCAGGAAGAATGTGAAAATGGATACATACAAAATGACATTATTAGGTCAAGATGATGTAAATTAAAACAAATTTTCTCTGTACTGAATAAAGAAATATTTGAGATCATCAGCTTGAAGGATGGAAGAAGAAAATGGGATTTAGCGGGTGGGGAAGGATGATTGTTGCGATATGTGAGCCAAAGAGAAGATGAGACATGGGAAATAGGATTCTTGAACTTTGGTAAGATTTAACTCAAGCACAGAAAGTTGGACTGCACTATACTTCAACAAAAACTCAACAGTTTTAGGATGACATTCTAAACAATATTCCAGAAAAGAAGTGGAGAAGTGAAAGTGGTTTGCACGTGTTAACTCCCTTACAACCTGAAAGATGGGTACTATTTTATTATCCAAATTCTAAGGTGAGGAAATTGAAACTCAGAGTGAATAAGAAATTTTTCTACAGACACCCTTCTAGAAAGTGGTGGCATCAGAATTCAAACAAATTCCAAAATCCATGTGCTGCTTATCACCAAGCCTGGTACATAAAAGACATTCATTGGGTACTTTTTAAATGACTAAAAACCTCTTAGAAATATAAATTACAAATTATGGAAGTAAAACACCAGTAGAAATTGGTCAGCCAGGATTAGAAAACAGTCAAAGGTAATGCAAAAATAATTTGATTTGCTAAAGAGGAAAACATGCAGATATCATTACTACAACTTTCATTAAATATTCAGTGACAATTTAAATTTCTATTAGGACTACAAAATGCTATCATAAAGTTAGTTATATTTAGAAAATAAGCTGTGAAATCCACACCAAAAATCTTCCCAAAATAAAAATATATATTGCCTTAAGAATTGAAGATTTTTATACCTCTGCTGAACCTATGAAATAAAAATTATTTGTATATGCAATCGGATAACTCCTAGGTCTAATATATCTACAAGGAATTTTGTTTATATCAATTAGAGAGGATAACAACTGTTTTCATGATCCCAATAAAAACAGAAAATATTGGTCATTTACTTAGTTGATACCACACATACCTACATGTACATTGAAAAAATATAATTATAAACAATTTTACACACAGATACACACACCTATAGACAAACCCACGCATATGTATGTGAATAAACACACACAAGCATCTGGAGCATATGAAGCATCAAAATAAATGTTGTTCTCTTAGAGGTCTTTCAGGCTACACCTGCACAGAGACATAACAATTATTCTTAGTAAATTAAGTTTCATATGCACACTAACTTAAACTGTTCATCTGATACCTGAAAAATTGAGCCAAATCTTTAAGTTTTTCTCTGGGATAGAACTGGACACTGTCATGAAAGTCCATTGTGTTATATTACAAACATGTTTGCCACAGTTCAAAGAATAAATACAGCACACTTCACATCATCGATGGACGATAAGAATAAGGAATATGGACAGAGAAGACCCACAGTCCCTAACATTAACTTCTTTTTTTTTTTCTTTTATTGTTATACTTTAAGCTTTAGGGTACATGTGCACATTGTGCAGGTTAGTTACATATGTATACATGTGCCATGCTGGTGCGCTGCACCCAATAACTCGTCATCTAGCATTAGGTATATCTCCCAATGCTATCCCTCCCCACTCCCCCCACCCCACAACAGTCCCCAGAGTGTGATGTTCCCCTTCCTGTGTCCATATGATCTCATTGTTCAATTCCCACCTATGAGTGAGAATATGCGGTGTTTGGTTTTTTGTTCTTGCAATAGTTTACTGAGAATGATGATTTCCAATTTCATCCATGTCCCTACAAAGGACATGAACTCATCATTTTTTATGGCTGCATAGTATTCCATGGTGTATATGTGCCACATTTTCTTAATCCAGTCTATCATTGTTGGACTTTTGGGTTGGTTCCAAGTCTTTGCTATTGTGAATAGTGCCGCAATAAACATACGTGTGCATGTGTCTTTATAGCAGCATGATTTATAGTCCTTTGGGTATATACCCAGTAATGGGATGGCTGGGTCAAATGGTATTTCTAGTTCTAGATCCCTGAGGAATCACCACACTGACTTCGAAAAGGTTGAACTGGTTTACAGTCCCACCAACAGTGTAAAAGTGTTCCTATTTCTCCACATCCTCTCCAGCACCTGTTGTTTCCTGACTTTTTAATGATTGCCATTCTAACTGGTGTGAGATGGTATCTCATTGTGGTTTTGATTTGCATTACTCTGATGGCCAGTGATGATGAGCATTTTTTCATGTGTTTTTTGGCTGCATAAATGTCTTCTTTTGAGAAGTGTCTGTTCATGTCCTTTGCCCACTTTTTGATGGGGTTGTTTGTTTTTTTCTTGTAAATTTGTTTGAGTTCATTGTAGATTCTGGATATTAGCCCTTTGTCAGATGAGTAGGTTGCAAAAATTTTCTCCCATTTTGTAAGTTGCCTGTTCACTCTGATGGTAGTTTCTTTTGCTGTACAGAAGCTCTTTAGTTTAATTAGATCCCATTTGTCAATTTTGTCTTTTGTTGCCATCGCTTTTGGTGTTTTAGACATGAAGTCCTTGATGAACATTGATGCAAAAATCCTCAATAAAATACTGGCAAAACAAATCCAGCAGCACATCAAAGAGATTATCCACCATGATCAAGTGGGCTTCATCCCTGGGATGCGAGGCTGGTTCAATATACACAAATCAATAAATGTAATCCAGCATATAAACAGAGCCAAAGACAAAAACCACATGATTATCTCAATAGATGCAGAAAAGGCCTTTGACAAAATTCAACAACCCTTCATGCTAAAAACTCTCAATAAATTAGGTATTGACGGGACGTATTACAAAATAATAAGAGCTATCTATGACAAACCCACAGCCAATATCATACTGAATGGGCAAAAACTGGAAGCATTCCCTTTGAAAACTGGCACAAGACAGGGATGCCGTCTCTCACCACTCCTATTCAACATAGTGTTGGAAGTTCTGGTCAGGGCAATTAGGCAGGAGAAGGAAATAAAGGGTATTCAATTAGGAAAAGAGGAAGTCAAATTGTCCCTGTTTGCAGACGACATGATTGTATATCTAGAAAACCCCATTGTCTCAGCCCAAAATCTCCTTAAGCTGATAAGCAACTTCAGCAAAGTCTCAGGATACAAAATCAATGTACAAAAATCACAAGCATTCTTATACACCAACAACAGACAAACAGAGAGCCAAATCATGAGTGAACTCCCATTCACAATTGCTTCAAAGAGAATAAAATACTTGGGAATCCAACTTACAAGGGATGTGAAGGACCTCTTCAAGGAGAACTACAAACCACTGCTCAATGAAATAAAAGAGGATACAAACAAATGGAAGAACATTCCATGCTCATGGGTAGGAAGAATCAATATTGTGAAAATGGCCATACTGCCCAAGGTAATTTACAGATTCAATGCCTAACATTAACTTCTAAAAGTTATCCTCCACAGGTTTTGCATATTCTACTCTCTGATTACAAGATTAGAGAATTTTTTAGTTTGTTTGACTTATGCCAGTAGCAGAGGAGACATAGTCCCTCTCTATTCACATGTTACATCATGAATACGTTTGGTCACTGGAAATATATACCAAAGCATATGTTACTCCAAGGCTTGATGGCTGGTTCAGGTACATAAAATGACCAGAAATGAGAGGGGTAGTCTCTTAAAATCTGTTGTCATTAACTCAGTATTAATTCTTAAGGAGTAAACTGTAGCAAATAAGGACAATTTCTTACTCAAACAATCATTATTCATGCATGCAAACCCGTACTTGGAAATAACAACAGGGATATAAAGTAAAATTCTCAAAATTCAGTAGACACCCATGGAATAGGATGGAAACTAGAAGGAATCAGAATTTACTGAAAAGATTTCTCCCACAGTATGGCACAGTGAGAAGAGAATAAACCAAAACATAAAGAAAAGACTAGAAATATTCAAAATTCCATTTTCATTTTATGCACATTAACACATAGGTTTTCCAAGCTTTTCAGGGTAGAGTTCTCTTCAGATTTAATTTTTCTTTTTAGGAGTCACAGTTCTGAACATAAACATACATCATATAAAAATAAGAGACTAGCAGTTCGTAAAACTTCATTAGAAGAAAAATAAACTTGAAGATGAAATTAAGCTTTGCTTAGGGACATGACATTTGAGAACACAGAGAGAAATTGTTTCATAAGTATCAGAATAAGCTACTAGGTATTTTTGCTAATGTTTACTTTATCTTTCAGATATTTTGAAATTAAAGATTTGTCCTTAAAGTGTTTTAATGGTTTGATTTAATAATAGGCAATAATTGAATCTAAATAGTCAAAACTATCTTTGATGAAGCAAATTAAGCATGTGACTATAAAGGACAGAATTACAAACCCTTTGTATTTTAGTGAATTATGATCAGATCCTTCAATATAGAAATCTTATTGCTACTATGTCACTTTGTCAATACAAGTGTAATATTGCTTCTAGATTATTTCTACTATGCCTAATATCATAAATCACACTAAATTTTTTCTCCTTAATTGATAATGATACATATTAAAATATGCTTTAAACTTCAATTAACAGAAGGATATTTGTAACGGATTTTGTCTCAAGTAATTAATGGACACAATATTAAAGTAAAATTGCATTTTTGTAAGTTAAACTTGCTTTCTAGTTAAAGATATATGAGACAGTATCACAAAATGTAAGACCTGGACTATTATTTCATACTTCTATGACTTTTCTATTTCAACTTTGCATTTTGTTATATAAATTCTCAGCAATATGTATTTTCAAATATCCTCATAATCAGTTATTTCAGTACATTTACATGGCAACCTATTTACATGGAATATATTTATTGGCATTTGAATATATTGTTGAAATCATCATATTCTGAAACTTTAGCTTTACTACTAACATTGATTTTTGATGAATTCCAAAACTGTTTAATTTTCTAATGACAATAACTCTTTTATGAACAAGACCTTTATCCAGGTGCACTAAAGTGTACTTTGTATAAAAAAAATGCATCTTTTACAAAGTGGAATTAACTATCCAGGTGGACAGCTGGACCACAGCAGGGTACATTACTGTGGGAGGAAGGAGAATTTTGATCATTGAAACTGGGCTAATTCCCCTATGTTTATATAAAACTGGAAAAAATGCAGGATCTCAGTGTTTATTATGGTAAATGAAAAACACTCAAGCAGTCAAGCTTCAGGGAATTCAGTTTATCTACACACTTCAAAGGCTAAATCAACTATGATGAGTTCTAAAAATACGGAGCAAAAAATGACAAAATATTGTTATAATAAATGCTTTTTATAATTTCTTTTAAAATATCCCTTGTTAGACAAAAATATTCTAAACTTCAAATGATGTTTCAGTGATTTATTGATCTGGTTATATAAAGATTTGCTTTAGAAATATTAAAGTGTGAAGTGAATAGCTATTGCCAATCCATATTATATGATAGTTATTCACTAATATGAAAAACAAAACAAAACTATCCTATACCTAATTATGCGAAATGGAAAATGTGCAAAGAGAAACCAGAGACTTCAGTCCAAATCCAAAGCACAGAAGAAAACAAATGTTTGTAGGATTTTCTTTCAAAGAAAAATGAAAAGCAGTGGAAATAGCTGACTCTGATTAGAAGAAAAGCAATTTAGGCAAAAATGTGTCATCTTTCTATGTTACACAAATTATTAAAAATAACTGTATCTCTGTATTCTGTTGTAAAATTGATAAACCTTTAAAAATGCCCTTGTGTATTCAGAAATTCTTTTCTGAACGCCAAATGAAAATAAAATTCCAGTATCTAGTGCCAAGTAATTAAAGTGTCTTCAGAGTCCAAAGTAATACAATTTAATCCTTTTAACTTTACTAGTGACATATGAATGCAATACACTTGTATAAAATACTCTTTTACCGTATATCCACTTGAGATATGATCTTCCTAATTCTTAAATGTATTTTTTTATTTTCTCCCTGTCAGCAATTTCAAAAGAATGGCTAAGGGCTGAATATTACCTACCACAGAAATATAGCACTTTTTCATTCATTTGCAACTAGTAATAAGAGTAATCCCTCGTCACTACATTGATCAGATTAATCAGAACTTATCAAAATAATTTCATCATTCTGCTATGCCTCCTATTATCTTGAAAGTGAGAAATGACCAGTTGAGCAGCGAAAAAACTGTAGTTGAATCGTTAACAGTGCAAGAGGATGGTCAAGGGGAGCAAGTAAAAACAATAGGGCATGGTGATGGAGAGAAGGAGCAGTTTTTAAAAACCTGTACGTGAATGTTCATAATAGTTATTTGTGATTACCCAGTGTCCTTCAACAGGTAAGTGATTAAACAAAATGTGTACAAAAAGGAATAAACTGTTGATACACATCATAACTGGATAAATCTCCAGGGAAATATGCTAAGTAAAAAATCCAATCCCAAAGGTTATATTCCGTAAATTTCATTTATGGAGGTGAGATGGGAGGGAGGTGAGTATAGTTATAAAAAGGAAGCATAAGGAATCTTCATGGTGATTGAACTGTTCTGTATCTTGACTGTGGTGGTGAACACAAAAATCTACACGTGTGATAAAATTGCATAGAACTAAATATATACATGGGCATGCACATACAAATGAATATATGTAAAACTGGTGAAAGCAGAACAAAATTTTTGGTTCATATTAACGTCAGTATCTTGATTGTGCTATTGCACATGCTTTTGCAAGATGTTACCATGGAGGAAACTGGGTAAAGAGAACACAGGATCTTTTTATTATTTCTCCCAACTTCTTGTAAATCTAAAATTATTCCAAAATAAGTTTTTTAAATGTATGGGAAAGGAAAGCAAAGTGCATGATTCAGGGTTTTTTAATTATACTGCCTGATTTTAGCTCTTATTTCTAAGCAAAGTATAGAAGTATCAGAAATTAAAGTATTTCACTTTAATTTTTAACCAAGGTGAGATTACACTATTAGATAATAGCTGCAAAAAATCTAAACTTGACTGCATAAATGTCTTCTTTTGAGAAGTGTCTGTTCACATCCTTTGCCCACTTTTTGATGGGGTTGTTTGTTTTTTTCTTGTAAATTTGTTTGAGTTCATTGTAGATTCTACATGAAAAAATGCTCATCATCACTGGCCATCAGAGAAATGCAAATCAAAACCACAATGAGATACCATCTCACACCAGTTAGAATGGCGATCATTAAAAAGTCAGGAAACAACAGGTGCTGGAGAGGATGTGGAGAAATAGGAACACTTTTACACTGTTGGTGGGACTGTAAACTAGTTCAATCATTGTGGAAGTCAGTGTAGCGATTCCTCAGGGATCTAGAACTAGAAATACCATTTGACCCAGCCATCCCATTACTGGGTATATACCCAAAGGATTATAAAATCATACTGCTATAAAGACACATGCACACATATGTTTATTGCGGCACTATTCACAATAGCAAAGACTTGGAACCAACCCAAATGTCCAACAATGATAGACTGGATTAAGAAAATGTGGCACATATACACCATGGAATACTATGCAGCCATAAAAAATGAAGAGTTCATGTCCTTTGTAGGGACATGGATGAAGCTGGAAACCATCATTCTCAACAAACTATCATGAGGACAAAAAACCAAACACCGCATATTCTCACTCATAGGTGGGAATTGAACAATGAGAACACATGGACACAGGAAGGGGAACATCACACTCCAGGGACTGTTGTGGGGTGGGGGGAGGGGGGAGGGATAGCATTAAGAGATATACCTAATGCTAAATGACGAGTTAATGGGTGCAGCACACCAACATGGCACATGTATGCATATGTAACTAACCTGCATATTGTGCACAAGTACCCTAAAACTTAAAGTATAATAATAAAAAAAAATCTAAACTTGAATTTGAAAAAGTTTTAATTATTTGAAGTGGTTTCACATCAGAAATTTTCTTGAAAATATTGGATGTAAGTCAATGAGCACTGTTGTTGTTATTGTTAATGAGTGTTCAATGAAAGTTAGCAAGATGCTGTCCATGAATTATCTCATTCTTATAGAAAACCTATGAGATAAGTGTTGCTCTTATCCACATTTTATAGATGAAAAAAACTGAGGTTCTGAAAAGCTGAGTAATTCATTCAAGGTTATCAGGTAATAAGTGGCAGATTCAAAACTGTGACCTAGGTCTCTCTGACTCTGCATCTGGTTCTCTTAACTACTAGAATTTAATGCCACTTCTATGCTTTACTCACTGGAAGACTTCTAAAGAAAACAATTGTTCTTTTTTATAATTAAGTATGTAAAGTATAAAAATATAATGACACAGTAAGGGAAAAAGATAATTTTGTCAGATGTTCGCCAATTTTGTGTTCTTATAAATATTCAAATATGGATTGGGTTAATGACAATACATTTTATAATAGAAAATCTGTTAGCATCAAATTCATAACTATAACACTGAAGAAAGCCAAAAGATAATCAGATGAAAACATAAAAGATAATAATATCAGTTACCAAATTAAATACAGGTGATGTTTCAAAATGAACTATTACCTGAAAGCAAGACACCAGTTTTTTGTTATTGCAAGAATGAAACAGTTAGTAGAATCACAAAAAAATTCAATTGCCTCTCAGCTGAGTTTAGTTACCCTGTAGTCTCTAGTTTGGAATTAATCTTTGAGCTTTTGAAAAATTAATATGTAATGAGAATATTGCTTACATTCACAAGTATGAAAATAAGATGCTTCCTTTAAAGGCACTTAAATCAGTTTCTAATAAACTTATTTAATATTGGGCTTTATTTCTTTTGCTTACTGGCCAGAGAGTACCACATAACCTAAAAGTAATTTATTGGAATTCAGTAAGATCACAAAATGTGATAATGATCTGAGCCAATCTATAACAAATAAACATTCCCCTAATTCAACGGAAAATGTCATCCAACATACCATATAAAGCTACATCCACTTCAAAAATGTTTCTGATTATATTATACCAATTGTCTTTTTCTGTTCATTTCATTTTTCATGATAGAAAATTAAAATGATTTGATTTATCCTTTTCTGAGTTTCTGACACATGTTGTAATAAAGAAATAAAACACTATTTGATATGCTTTAAAATAATATGTCATCTGATTAGAGATAAAGTTATCTCAGCTGGGTTCTATCAGTACCAATAAAAAGAGAAAAATCAATTTATAAAATAAAATATAGAAAATTTCATAGATTTTCCTACTATTAAATTTGTAATTTAATGCCACTATAATGACAGCCACATTTACTACATGTGATTTAATTTTATCATTGGGGAGGGGGAATCTCATTAATTTAGAAACTGTAAATAAAGATGGACATTTCAATTATGTAATTAAAAACTTCCTCACTTGTTTTATTTTCATGCTGAAAACAATTACAAAAATAAAGCCATGTAAATAATTACAATGAAACTACAGCAACTCACCAAACAATAGGAAACTAAGAATTAGAGGAAGATAAACTGGAGATTCATCTGGTTGTAGTGTGTATCAATAGTTTATTCCTTTTTATTGTGGTACATATGTACTCAATTTGTTTAATCACTTACCTGTTGAAGGACAGTGGGTTGTTTTCAGTTTCTAGCAATTATAAATAACTATTAACAAATCAGGCACCAAAAAAAGTGTACAGCAAGATTATTTAGTAATAGTATAATTAACATTATCATCAAATACCTCTTGTTATCTAAGAAAGTCTTTATACTTTAATCAGAGATCACTACATGCACTTTAATAAGCCTTTGAAGTATGACTTTTTAAATCTTTTCTTAGGTTCAGGGGTACATATGCAGATTTGTTATATAAGTAAATTGCATGTCACAGGGGTTGGTGTATAGATGATTTTATCATGCAGGTAATAATCAAAATATTCGATAGGTAGTTTTTCATTAATCTCCTTCTGCTCATCCTCCATTCTCTGGTAGGTCCTGGTTTCTGTTATTCCCTTCTTTGTGTCCATGTGAACCCACTGTGTAGCTCCCACTTATAATTGGGAACATGCTGTGTTTGGTTTTTCTGTCCCTGCATTAGTTCACTTAGGATAGTGACCTCCAGCTCCATTCATGTTGCTGCAAAAGACATGATCTCATTCCTTTTTATGTCTGCATAGTATTCTGTGGTGTATATGTATCACATTTTCTTTATCTAGTCTACTGTTGATGGGCATTTAAGTTGATTCCATGTCTTTGGTATTGCAAATAGTGCTGTGATGAACATATGCATGCATGTGCCTTTATAGTAGAACAATTTATATTCCTTTGGATATACACCCAATAATGAGATTGCTGGGTTGAATGGTAATTGTATTTTGAGTTCTTTGAGAAATCACCACACTACTATCCACAGTGGCAGAACTAATTTACATTCCCATGAGTAGTGTATAAGCATTCCCTTCTTTCCACAACCTTGCCAGCATCTGTTATTTTTTGACTTTTTGATAATAACCATTCATACTGGTGTGAGATGGTATCTCATTGTGGTTTTGATTTGTATTCCTCTAATGATTAGTGATGTTGAGCATTTTTTATACGTTTGTTAACTGCGTTTATGTCTTCTTTTGAAAAGTGGTTGTTCATGTCCTTTGCCCACTTTTTAATGGTGTGGTTTGTCTTTTCTTTGTTGATTCACTTAAGTTCCTTATAGATTCTGGATATTAGAACTTTGTCAGATGCATAGTTTGTGAATATATTCTCCCATTCTGTAGGTTATCTGTTTACTCTGTTGATATTTACTTTTGTTGCACAGAAGCTCGTTAGTTTAATTAGGTCCCACTTGTCAAGTTTTGTTTTTGTTGCAATTGCTTTTGGCATCTTCATAATGAAATCTTTGCCAGGTCTTATATCCAGAATGGTATTTCTTAGGTTATCTCCCCAGGTTTTTATAGTTTTAGTTTCTACATTTAAGTCTTTAATTCACCTTGAGTTGATTTTTGCATATGGTGTAAGGAAGGTGTCCAGTTTCAATCTTCTGCATATGGCTAGCCATATGGCACCATTTATTAAATAGGGAGTTCTTCCCTCATTGCTTGTTTTTGTGGGCATTGTCAAAGATCAGATGGTTTTAAGTGTGTGGCATTATTTCTGGGCTCTCTATTCTGTCACATTGGTCTATGTATCTGTTTTTGTAGCAATACCATGCTGCTTGTTTACTACAGCCTTGTATTATAGGTTGAAGTTGGGTAACATGATGCCTCCAGCTTTGTTCTTTTGTTCTTTGTTCATGGTCTTTGTTCAATTGCCTTGGCCATTCAAGCCCTGTTTTGGTTCCATATGACTTTTAAAATAGTTTTTTTTCCCTAATTATGTGAAGAATGTCATAGATAGTTTGACAGGAATAGAATTGAATCTGTAGATTGCTTTGGGAAGTATGGCCATTTTAACAATATTGATCCTATTTTGTGTCAACTCTGATTTCTTTGAAAGGTGTTTTGTAACTCTTGTTGTAGAGATATTTCACATCCCTGGTTAGCTGTATTCATAGGTATTTTATTCTTTTTGTGGATACTGGAAATGTGTTGCATTCTTGATTCAGCTCTCAGCTTGGATGTTGTCAGTGTATAAAAGTGCTACTGATTTTTGTACATTTATTTTGTGTCCTGAAACTTTGCTGAATTCATTTATCAGATCAAGGAGCTTTTGGGCCAAGACCATGAGGTTTTCTAGGTACAGAATCATACTGTCTGCATATAGTTTGACTTCCTATCTCCCTATTAGGATGCCTTTTATTTCTTTCTCTTGTGAAGTATGGCTAACTTTCGTATACTTAAACCTATTCTCCATTTTAAAGTTTTCTGAATTTTCTATCCCCACCTTTCCCCTATTTGTCCCACTAAATGTTCCTTCACTTGAGTAACAAGGTCTAATTTATTTTTTTTCTTTTGATAAGTTCATTTTGTGACAATAATCCTTGTGACCAAACTTTGCTCAGTCAATTAGATGTGCTGTTCAATCTACTTCAGTTGTCGCGATGATCCTAAGCAAGAAATCAGTCAGTTTTCAATGCATGGTTTTCATTAAATAGACATGGCTTTAAAATATTAAAATAAGTTCACCAATGTGAAATACACACTTGCATCATTGTGTTAAAATTTGTAATTGAAAATTTGAATACAGGGTTGTATTTAAGATTTTCTAGAGAATAAAGCCTAAATTTCATCAAAGTATAATTATTGTAACTGGTTCAATAGATTATTCTTAGGCTAACATATATGTGTAAATTCATTAAATTAATAATTGTTTGCAAGTTAATATCCAAAGTTATCTCATTGGGCTCCCTAGGTGATGATGTGCTAATTGCCCCTGGAGCTGGCCACTTGTATTTTTTTAAATAGAGGTAACTGGCAAATCTGGACACAGTTAAGCAATTATGCTAAGTAAGAGAGAGAATGCTGTCTGAAATTCTAGCCAACAATTATCCATTAATCATGTCCAATATTTTTTTTCTATGGATGGTAAAAAATAAACCGCCTAAACTCTCCCAATTTAAAAATATGAGTGGCATTTTGTTACATTCCGGCAAGGGGAATAATATCAGAAACTTCTTGGCTTCTCACAAAATAGTGTTTTTAATAAATCGATGGCGCCCTGGATCATGGTCTTTCAAAGGTCATGCTGGTCCAGGAAGATACTGGGAAGCTGAATCACAGGTCGGATGATATAACTGGGTAATAGGGATTCAGAGGAGCACCGGAAAATGGCACTTGTGCTTTGACTTTCTAAAGTGTTTGTAAAACGGCCTGTTTGACCCAGACAGAGCTTTACTATCACAGGAAAGTGCTTTTGGAGTCCCTGATGAGTGCAGCAACCTCACCCCAAACTTTTGAGCACATCTTGGCGCCCAGAGCAGCCATTCGCGACCTAAATTACTAAGTCAAGATTCAAGCTCTACAGCAGCAAAGGTCCTGTGAGGTACGCTTGGCTGGAAGAAAGCTAGGTATCTGGCTCTGCCCAGAAGGCGCCCGCTCCGCAAACTGCTGGGAAGTTCTGGTTTGTTCCAAGAGTAGCACCAAGGAGACAAAGGAACATGCAAAATAGGATAGCTTATGCTGGCTGCAAGAAGCTGCAGTCGGGTTTTTGCCCCTGGGCCCTCTGATAATCACCGCAGGGACTTGGGGCAGGAGCAGGCTATTGGAATGATGGCAGACGGTTTAAAATTCCTTACTTGCTGATCCCTGAGCAGTGGTCTTGTAGAGTCACCACAGCACTGGAGATTGGCAGCTAGCTCCACCACTAATGTGCTCTCTTAAATCTCGATTACTTGAGGCGGATAATGGAAGAATGAAGTTACCTACCTGATTTGTTATTGTTGCTGCTGTGAGGTTTAAGAGTTAACATGTAGCAACATGAGGATTAAGAGTTAACATGTAGCAAGATAGCAAGCTTAAAAAAAGAAAGAGAAAGACAGAAAGAATGAAAGAAAAGAAAGAAAGAAGGAAGAAAGAGAAAGAAGAGAAAGAAAGAAAGAAAGAAAGAAAGAAAGAAAGAAAGAAAGAAAGAAAGAAAGAAAGAAAGAAAGAGGTAGTGGTTATTGTTGGAGGCCTCACACCTGTGAGTGGTATCGCCCCAGAACTCTGTCAAAGTCTCCTGAATCTTGAGAAGCCAAGCCCTTGTTCTCTTCTATTGGGCTGCTTCCTCGGGTACGACTTTGTAGGAGCCACCAGGAATTAAGTGCACCTGCTAAGGTCATGAGACAAGATGAGCCTCTTTGGAATGCCAAAATTTGCCCCCAGCAGACCGCACTGCTGCGTCTACCCAGGCAGTATACATCTAGCCCTTCACATGTAATCATGTTGAATTGAGTTTTTGGCAACACTTGTCCCTGGCTAACTACCTGATTCTGCGGAGCGTCAGAGCCTGGTCTCTCAAAAGCCCTCTCCCCAAAGGCCAGAAGTGAAGTTTCCCCCGGCCGTCATGGCCCTGAAACGGAGCACTGCAGAGCTCACAGAGGGGAGTGGAGATGGGAAGAAAGACACTGTTTCCTGAGTTGCCTGGATAGGATTATTTATGACGTAGCCACAAGCCTCTTCTGCTACAGCAGGCGGAGACCTTGCCACCTCAGGATTATGCTGCCACTTGCACTTAGCCTTCTTCCCGCATATACACACCCAGCGACATAAAAAGGGCACTCCTGCCCTGAGTTTGGAAATGATGTTTTGTGATGAGAGTCTAGTCCTGGTGGCTCACTCCTCACTGTCTATTGCTCACCGGCACGGAAAACTCTCTTTCATTCATAAATAATTGCCTTGCGCATTACTGTAGAAGAAAACTTAGTTAACAAATTCCTTTGTTTTGCTTGTGAAGTTACCAGATTTGGTTAGTAATTGCCTGCTTGATCAAAAGCCATTTCCTTCGTGGTTAACCAAACATCAACTTGTCTCTGTTGGGCCCGTTTTAAATATCACCAAAAGTGAACAGCCCCAATTACGACAGGAAACACATTTCCCGACATTAAACAAGGAACAGAAACAGATTTGTCGTGTTTCAAAATGCACATAGTTCTATGGATGGGCTCACATGCTGTTCTTATTTGCAACCTTCTCTCCCTAAACAAACACACAGGAGCGCGAAGACACAAACACATTCTTCTTTCAGTGGGTGTAGAAGGATTCTTGGAAAATCCTGTCTCTGAGTTATCTTCAAAAATGGCTGAAACTTATTACTGTGACACTTTTTAACTTGAAAATCAAGATAAAGTAAAGGGGAAAGTCTAAAATAAAATAAAATACAATCACTATTTTACTTTTCTTGAAAGAAGGGAAAATATTTGCCAGGAAAAATACTTTAGAGAGACTGTAGTCCTCTTCAGACATTTAAAACTTTCACATGAGATAGTAAAATAAATTTAAAAATTAAAAAATAATCCCTTGAGTTTTTGTGTGGTTGACTGTGAGCTGCAAATCTCAGGAACACCGGAATGCATTTATAAACCCATCAGAAATATCACCGTCACTATTTGGCATTCAGTATTGATAAGAAATGCGTGGTCCTCCTTGGCCTCTGGTTTTTCAGGCAGGGTTATAACAGGCATTATCTGCTTCAGGGGTTTTATTTGGGAAATCCCCTGGGTCCTTCCTAGTTATCCATGGCACTGCGGTGTGGTAGCCCAATGCGGGGTAGCTGGGGTTTCCTGCATTACTTGAAAGGTATGGTGCTCTCTGCAATGGAGAAAATAAATTTAAAAGCTATAGAATTCGTCCAATTAAACCGCACTAATCCAGAATCTGTCTTCTCTTCTATGAGAGCCTCTTCACTAGAGGATAAAATGAGCATTGATTTTTCAAGTACCTATGGATCACTTATTGCTAGTAAATTCTTCTGACTTAGGGCCTTAAGCCCTTTTCGATTCTCTCTGAGCTGCCCTGGAGAAATAAACCAACAAGTAAAAATCAAACATGTTCTATTTTGCAGCAGAAAAATGTGTCAGCCAAGACATTTCTGGGATTCGCTGTGCATTAAATTGTGTGTGTGTGTGTGTGTATATGTGTGTGTGTTGGATCTTTCCTTTAGGAGGTGTAAAGTTTTGTTTATGTGGCGCTTGCAGACTGAGAGGGGGATCCTGGCCACTGAGAGTCTCTACACTGCCTGGGAATCACTGCCTGAGGCTGAATGGGTCTCTTAGTGGATGACTCCAGAGCTGAACCCCTTGAGTGGAGCTTCTGAGCTGCTGTTGTTGATTGAGGATTGAAAAGTGTTTTCCAACTGCAAGTGCTCCTGCTGGGCATGGAAATGAGCTGACTAGACTTGTAAAGTCAATCCACTCCTGCTTCAAAGGCATTTTTTCCCAAGTGCATTAGCCTGTAGCTCAGAGCAGGATGCAGCCAGGTATGGTTGCAACCGGGAGGCTGAGGTAGGATGCAGGGTGCCTGCAGCCTTGAGGCTCTGAAAGCTGAAATCACAGACTGTCATTGTGACTTCATGGCCAACCTTGAGTAACAGCAGGTCTTCTGTGGGAGAAGTTGCTGGAGTCCAACCCCGGAAGTAGCAAGTGCCTCTCCCACAGCTGAGGGCCAGAACACCACGTTCTCTTGTGCTCTGGCTCTAGGCCACTCTTCTCTGGGCTCTTGAGAAGAGCTGCTGCAGGCATTTGCAGAGTGAATGAGCTCTGACTGAGACTTGACTTCAGAACCACTGGGCTGGCCTGGCCTCTTGACACAGCAACACACTGCTTCTTGCCTTCCAGGTAAATACCTCTGCCTTACTGACCATGTTATGGGTTTTAGTGGGACATCAGTACAGGGATTCTCCTCAGCCTCTTCCTCTCCTGTTAACTATCACTAACCAAGTCCCTAACATTAGGAAAGTCCAACTGATAACTGTCAGTTTCATCTTTCATTAACTGGGGGTTTTGTGACAGAGATCTTGCAATCACTACTTCTCGGGGGACTGGAAGTAGAATATTAGTGCTCTTTAAAATTAATGAAGGCTAGACTTGTCCAGTCTGTTAAGAGTATGCTGTAATACCCAAAGAAGCCAGCAATAGTCCCTCTCCTAGGCAGCAATGCAGCCAGAAGGCTCCCAGGCCCAGGATACTATGCATTAGTGCTCACAGATCTTGTTTAGGGAGCTAGGGAGCAAGGGGAAGGGACGGGAGTGCCTCCTGGAAGGTGAGGACTGAAGCCAACGTGGAAGTCACTGAGCTGAGTGGCAGGTGTCTAACACTGAAAAGTGGCCCTAGCCAAGGGCTCTAAGTAGTGGTACTTTCTACCGAGGCTCTTCCCCAAGGAGCTCTAGATCCACAGAGGCAGAAGGATTATTTGATCTTCTTTGCACTCATTTGATTTCAGGAGGAGGTCTGAAGTCCCAAAGCATGGGCATTGGGGTGAGAGAGGGAACATCAAAGTGTGCCAAAAAAGATTGTTTTATTTTACTTATTCCTGATTTTTCTTACCAGAGCTTGAGCTCATACACCGCATTGTAACACAAACACACAAGCACACATACCACACACACACACATGCCTTCAAACTAGAGAAGGGGACTACAGAAAGCACCTGGCCATAAAAGGCATGTCAAGGAGTTTGCTGTAGGGTGGTGATATGGTTGCTTTGTTTCAGTTCAGCAGACTTATCTCCATGAAGACCTTATTGTTTTCTGTGATTTCTCTTTTGTATTTTTTAAAATTTGTCTTTATTTCTTAATTATTAAAACCTTCCCTTTTGCCCCTCGGAGCATTGATCAGGGTTTACTAACTACAAATATTTACTTCATGAAGGAGCAGTTTTTTCTCTAGTAATATTAATGTGGGGACCCTGGGAAGGAAGACAGTGTATGAAAGAAGGCATAGATTGGCTTCAAGCACAGGCAGTATAGGTGTTTGCCTATATTTGGTGTTTTGATAGACTTAGGGAAAATCCCTCAGCCTACTACCAAATATTTTTGAGTGTCAGTACATCTGTGGTTGTTAGGTATTGAAAAGCCCTGATTAAATACAGATAATTATGAGAATATGGAAAGAAGCCTTTAGTACCTTATTCGCATGTCCTAGGAATGATGAGGTAGGGTGCCAAGTTAAGAAGAGGAAAATATATTGTAAATATCCAGGAGTAAGTAAATAGTGAAAAGATTAGCACGAGATTTGGTGGGCCCAATGGAGTTCAGGATGATTTCTTTCTTAACAGAAGGATCTGCTTCTGTTGGGCTCATGGCTGCCCAAATTAGGCAGAGCCAGATGATGACTCACTGATCTGAGAACTGAGTGGAGTCATTTGGTGAGAAAGCGTGTGTAGGGGAAGAGGGTGTAAAGCAAGCATTTTTCTAGTTTTAGGAAGATAAAATAATTCCTCATAAACAGTATTTTTTTTCAATAATTCATTGATGCAATTAACTTGGCATATCTCCGTTCAAGTGATCTGAGCCAGTGATATTTTGCTATATGTCTGAATTATTTATTTTAAAATATCAAACTGGCACCTGCAGTCATTTTTCAAATCCTAGCCCACTTTCTTTGAGGCTGATGCATATAGCATATTTGGAGGTAACTCTGACTCTCATCCTCATTTTTAAAAAGGCAGCATGATGCCAGGTGCGGTGGCTCAAGCCTGTAATCCCAGCACTTTGGGAGGCTGAGGCAGGCAGATCACCTGAGGTCAGGAGTTCAAGACCAGCCTGGCCAACATGGTGAAACCCCGTCTCTACTAAAAATACAAAAATTAGTTGGGCGTGGTTGAACACGCCTGTAATCCCAGCTACTCAGGAGGCTGAGGCAGGAGAATCACCTGAAGCTGGGGGGCAGAGGTTGCAGTGAGCTGAGATTGTGCCATTGCACTCCAGCCTGGGCAACAGAGGGAGATTCTGTCTCAAAAAAAAAAAAAAAAAAAAGCATGAAAAAAAACAAAGAAAAGGAAAGAGGAAAGATGGGGGTGGAGTAGGTAAAAGAAATGTATAAGGCATAATACCCAAGTTAAAATGACCTAACCTAAAAATTCACATAGCACAAACTCTACCCATGAAAAAATATTATGTCCAGCAGTCCTGATTGAGCCTTCAGTTAATATATGACTGTGCAAGTGCCAATGGAGCACCAGAGAGGTAACATAAAAAGGAATAGGTTTGACACTAGTTTGGTGTTGTTTTTGTGTGTGTGTGTGTGTGTGTGTGTGTGTGTGTGTGTTTTCTTTAATTTTGTTCATTAGGTTTTGTAGAGACAGGATCTTGCTATGTTGCCCAGGATGATCTCGAACTCCTGGACTCAAGCTATCCTTTTCCCTCAGCCTCCCAAAGCACTGAGATTACAAGTGTGAGCCCATATACCTGGCCTTAAGCTCAATGTTTTAATGGAGAGTGTTTGAGGACTAAAAGAGACAGGATGCATTTATAATTATTTATTATTTTCACTGCTCCAGGAAGTCAAAGACAGCTGAAAGGTGACCATACAATGCCTCTTCTGGCAATTACTAGAATCACCATAGGGTAGAATTACATTTGGACTTTCAAAAAGGTTTTTTCTTTTTCGTTTATTCATTTATCCTGCTCAAAATTAGCCACGTACAAAATTGTCCCCATAATTCTGGTGGCAAATTTCCTAGGAAATTTTTAAAAATTCTATCGACCTTAGGTTATTAATTCAGTGAAGAAATAAGAAAAAGTAGTTGTATGCCTTTGATATACTTCAGTTAGAATGAGAAATACAATGAACTGAAGCCTAATGTTGTAATTATTATCATAGGAAGGCCTTCACCATTTGATAGCAGTATGAACACATGATTAAATTCAACAGAATGCATTTTCCTGTAGCTAAAGTTTTTGCAAGCATGAGCATTTCGCTTCCAATCCTCCCCATGAGAAGAACACAGCGAACACAGATAAGAATTTGTATCTCTACTTTTTCTTCCCCTACTCTACCAAGGAGCAAGAGTAACAAAGTTTGACATGCATAACTCAAGACTAGATGAATAAAAGCACAGTCTTCTTGAGAGATTATATTGAATTAAGCTAACCAGAAGTTGAGGGATTCAGTGTGAGAATTACTTTAATATTAATTAGGCCACATCCCTCAATTTCCTGAAGTGAGAACACAGCTACGAGTTAGGGTCTTGTCATTAACACATTTTATCTAATCATATAAGAACATACACTTACATTGCATTGGTAAATACCAAAGATATATTTCCAAGGATGAACTTGATAAAAACAGGTCATGTATTCTAGAAGACATGTTTCCTATGGATTTTTGAAATTCAAATGTAATCTTTTGGTTTAATTCACTAATTTTATTTATTAAAATAGTATTTGAATTTCTTAAAAAAAAAGGTGGCTTTCCTAAAGACTTTCAACCTTTTGAATCTGCTTTAGGATTTAGCCAAAAGTTGGGGGTTCCAGTGTTGATCCCAAAGTTTTCCCCTTCGAGTGTTTCGCCTCAAAGAATTCACAGCTGTATAGTTGATAGAAAGATTAGCACATTCTTGAAATTAACTCCCATCATCTCTTTAATTTTGAAAACATCTGTGAGTGCTTACTATGTTCCAGGCTTTGTCCTAAGTGGTTTGCATGTTTTCTTCTCTTTTTACTAAACTCTCAGATATATAAACACACTTACAGAAACATACTCTATGATAGGAGTGTTAGAAATAATAGCTTTAAATGGTTAAAACAAAGAACTGAATGCAAAAAAAAGACTTGTGTAAGGTCATTCAGATAGAAAGTAGAGTCAGAATTTGAATCAGGTCAGTCTGAATCTAAAGTCTGTCTTCTTACATGCTGTACTGCTTGAGCCTTATTCCTATTTATTATCATAGCCTGAAGAATTCATGTAGAAAGTAAAATTTAGTCAATAACATAATTTTCCTATTCTCATAACCAGTAGTATTGAAAAAGGAGAAGAGGTAGGAAGAAAGAAAACTAGAAGAAGAAAGTGATCTTCCAAATTTTATCAAGATGAGTGTATTTGTCAAGACTCTTTTGTCTACAAGTAATGGAAACCCAGCTGAAGCTCACTTAAGCAAACAACGATAATTTATTTCTTCATGTCACTTAGCTAGTGCAGGCAAAGTTGAATTCAGGTACTCAAATGATGTTGTGGGGAAGCTGATTACATTTCCTGACTCTGCTTTCATTAAAGTGTTCATTAGAGTGTTCATTCTAAGGAGGTCTTTCCCAAGTAATGACAAAAAAAAAAGGCCATGAGTAGCTTGTTTCAGATTCATGTTCCACAAGCTTGGAACTATGCCAAAATATCTTAATCATGGGGAGTGGGCAATTCAAAACCAACATTTTACTGTAAGGATTTTCCTATTATCAAACTTAAAAAACATATTCTTCTTTCTATTGTGGGCATCTGTGGGTCTCAGAAACCTCCACATGTTTCGCTGCCCCTCCATTGTTGAAGAGTCTCTTATAAAGGTTTATGGGTGTTCATGGATGAAATATAGAGATGCCCCAAAGAGACTTCCAGGTGTGGAGAATGAATTGCTGGCATTAGTACATGCGCCTCAGGCCCCCAATACCTGACAGCCCAGTGCTTCAGCAGCTGACCAGACTGCAAAGCTAGTTATGAGATAATGCAATATTTTCCCCCTCAGATACAAGTTAACAGGAATTAACTATATTTTAGTCTAGTACATACAAGGGAGAGCTAAGCTACATATCTCCCAGTGATGTCAACAGATATATACAGAAATGGGAATGGAAAAAGTTCAGATTACAAAAATAAAAAAATTCTGGATGACTAAATTACATGCATGTAATAAATATTAAGAAAGAAGTTTCTTCTAAGAAAGAAACTTACACCCAAGATATGCTATTTTCTTGATTTCAAAATATCACATCATATGTTAGGTAGTCTAAAATACTAGCACAGACATTGCAACAAACATCTTTTGCTTTATTTTTACAAAAATCTATTTAAAAAAAAAGATACCAAGCAAAGTTGTCCCTTTCTATACAAGGTAACGTCCTGCCTTTTAACAATAAATTGAGCTAAGGTTAAAGGCAAGACAACACCTGTATTAGGAGATACTAACACAAATATTACATGGTAATAATTGCACTCTAAAATTAACAAATAAACTCGACTTTTCTGTTTTTTAGTTGTGTATTTTAGCTAAGAGCATGCAATAAATAAAATATAGATAGATAGAGATAGATTAGATAGATAGATAGATAGATAGATAGATGATACATATAGATAGATAGACAGATAGATAGATAGATCTTCTGAGTAAGAGGAAATGAACAAACACTCTCCCCCCACTTTAATGGGTGCGAAAAGAAACGAATGCTCAGATCACATGCAGATGTGGCTGTTTTCCAGCCCAAGTTCCTTACACGAAATTGGCCTTACCTGTGAGGTTCACTTTGCCTGTCTAGGATAGGGACAGTGTCTTTCTCAATTCTGCATGGTGAGCAGTGGCTAAATAATGATTGAGCCAAACCCTTCAGCAGCATTCAAGCTGTAAGTAACTCTTTGCCATACTGAGATTTTTAGAGTGTTTAAAGTCATACCCAGTTGCCTGAAGATCTCCTCCCTATGGCTGAATATCCCCCTACCACCACCACTACCACTGCCATCACAGTGGCAGGGCACATTTGTACCTAAGTAGCTGAAATTAAAAGGACACACAGGTCTTTTACTCTCAGATTCCAGTATTGGCATATTATAAGTTATTTCAAGTTGCATCTTATTTTAAATGAACTTGGATCAGCTTTAAATGCCCTTTTTACAAATGTGTCAGAGGAGAATAATATAATTTTTCTGGAAAAATGCAAATGCTATTAGTTAAGATGCAACCTGCAAAAGAATCCAGGGGCACTTGATTTCTTATTTCTGATGAAAAGTAGGAGACCAAATCATATGCACACAGGCAGACATCTCATATCTGCATACGTAAACATGCTCTTTGGATGTTGTAGACAAGTCTCTTCCTGAAAAAAAAAGAAACTTGTATATTCATTTTAAGGAAAAGTAAAATCCAGCCCAAGAATATATTCCAGGAGACACTGGAATCAATTACTTAATCCGAACATTTTGAGTTGTGCACATTCTTGGGAGCAAAGGCCCTTTTGTTGCCCTGCTGGTGGACCTGGAGTTTTTAGACTGTGTTTGCTGATTAAGTACTGTGAGAAAAAACAAAGACTATGTATAGGAATATTGGGCTCCAGCAGAGGCAGGGCTTGAAGATCCAAGTTTTCTCTGATGCTTGACAGTGGCATTGGGAGACTCCTGCCTGCCCTCACCTCACTAACAGAAGAGAGCGGATAAACTGGCACAACTGCTGCTCACCTAATTTGAGACTCCAACTGCAGAGCCAACTGGCCCCAAAAGCTTGTACTCCTTTCTGTTTCCCAGTGCCTTCACTGGAGAGCAAAAGACCCTGATACATCTCTCCGGATCTGCTTAAAGTGGTCCCTCGTGGGCAATTATTTCGCATGTCTTTGAGTTTTATAATTTAATGTAAAGCTGTAACCTGTATCTCCCTTTTCTCCTCTCTCTACTTCCCTATCTATAGCTTTTTTTCAACAAGCTCCAAAACCCCCCTCCCTGTTAGACTCTGAAGTGTCACTCACTGTGTTTTTTATGCTTCCAATAGTTTCCAAAACAAACAGTGGAGGCAGTGACCGGCTGGGTATTCACTGGATGCAACAGTAACTCCCAATCCGAGCAACCTGAGCCGCCATTGGCGGCAGGTCTGCTCCCTAAAAGGCCAGCACTTGCCAATCTCTGCTCTGCCAGGTCCTGGAATCAGGGATTTGAGGACTAATGGTCTGCACATGTGCACTGGGAGGAAGGGAGACTAGACTTTGAAGGACATATACACTAGTTTGATCTTCCTCTCCTTTCATTTTGTCTATTCAAACAAAAAATATATATGTATATAAAAAAATTACACACACACACACACACACACACACACACACACACACACAATTATTTTCTTTGAATACAGATCCAGAAATTGTTTTTCAGATTTGGGTTTTGGGTTTGGGGTTTTGTTTTGTTTTGTTTTGTTTTTCCCGCTTTCCCTCCTTCCTTCACCCTCTGTGCCCTCCGCCTGTGTCTCCCCCTCCCTCCCTAACCCAGTTCAGGTTGAAACTTTGCTGCAAAGAATCCCTTCACCCCCTCCAGGGATGGCTCTGAGCTCTCGGGCGCGTGCCTTCTCCGTGGAAGCCTTGGTGGGGAGACCCAGCAAAAGAAAACTCCAAGACCCAATACAGGCGGAGCAGCCTGAGCTGCGGGAGAAAAAGGGCGGAGAGGAAGAGGAGGAGAGAAGGAGCAGCGCTGCAGGGAAGAGCGAGCCGCTTGGTAAGTACTGCCATTGCCCTGAGCCCGTTGCCTGAGCTTACTGGTTCCGCATCTCTCCGCCTGGCTCGCGTCCCGACGCAGCCAGACAGCCACATTAGGAGCCGCGAGACACCTCGACCACCTGGTGAAGGGGAAGTTTCAGCGCCTCCGAATCCATCCCGGAGTACAGCAGTTTCTTTGCGGTAAAGGGGAGGGTCCCTACATAATTGTGAAGTGAGTCTCTCCTACATCCTCCTCCTACCTTCGCGGAAAGCTCTCACCGCCAGCGGGTGGCTGCTGTATCCTGGGATGGGAAGCAGGGCGAGTTCCCAAATCCCGAGGGCATCCAGTCTCGGTTATCAACGTCTCCAGGAGAGTGAGGATTGGCAAATCTAAAAAAAAAAAAAAAAAAAGCTGGTGTGGGCGGGGGGTAGGTGTCGGGTGTCGCACCTTTCACTGCCCCTCTCTCTCCATTAAGCGGCCACAGAGGGTGTTATGCGGAGCTTGGGGAATCTGTCGCCAAAGTTCCTGGGGAAGGGACAAGGCCCTGTCTGCTCCAAGATAGGCACCAGCGAGAAGTGGGCATGTGAACTGTGACGCTCTCTCAAACCCTGAGCGCCTTTCTGTGTCCAGCAGAAAAACAACCTAAGACAGAGCCCTCAACATCTGCTTCCTCTGGCTGCGGCAGCGACAGCGGCTACGGCAACAGCTCTGAAAGTCTGGAAGAGAAAGATATTCAAATGGAGCTTCAAGGATCTGAACTGTGGAAAAGATTCCATGACATCGGGACTGAGATGATCATTACTAAAGCGGGCAGGTTCGGTTCTGCCCAAGCTGTTCACAAGGGTCACACACATTAGGCACTTAATTTACCGCTCTGGTAAGATGAGGACTCTCCAGTTTTATGCTCTGGTACTCCTCTGTCCCTTTTCCCCAACTCCCTGACATACAGTAGAAAGCCATAGCCCCTCAATTGATAGGGCTCGGACTTACCTGGCCCCATGTAAGTGGCTCATTCTTCCTTTCCTGTACACTGTGACTCCAATAACTCACTTCCCCGTCTCCTGCCTGTGTAGTATAAGACAAAAATCAGACTTTGGTCTTAGACTGTGGCCAGACCTCTCAGTTAAGGCCTCTAAGATAACCATGGACAGTATCCCATGTCACAGTTCCTCGCGCCCGCTAGACCTGGCCCAGGTTATTTTGAGGTGAGCCATTCCCATAGCCACCTTTTGGCATGGGACAGCCACTTCACTGCAGCTGGTTATTTTGTGAGTCTAACTAATTTCAGCCTTCCACAAATCTGCCTCACAGAAAGTACCCTTGAAAAGGAGGTTGGGACACAGCTTTTTCTCTCATACTTTCTCTTCTATAGCTTTTTATTATGGTTGGGGAGGGACATGAACAAAGCCTTGTGGTAATAATATTCTGCTCCACTTAGAAATTCCGTACTTGTTCGGTCAAGTATGCAACCAACAATCTTTCCTCATGTAGCAAATGCTATTCCTTGCTATTTTGAAAAGGGAAGGGTATTGTGAGTCCCTTCACTTTTTACTGGAGTCAGCATTTGTCCAGAAACACTCCCTCTTCCAAACATTTCTAAAAGCTCTTGGGTCAGTCCTTATTTTCTTTCTTACAGGCGGATGTTCCCCTCTGTTCGGGTCAAGGTGAAAGGGTTGGATCCAGGGAAGCAGTACCATGTGGCCATCGATGTGGTGCCGGTGGATTCCAAACGCTATAGGTAATGGGCCCCATAGAATGGTACTCTATGCCCAGGCTAGGGCCAGGGATTTGGACCTTCAGACCTGAAACCTGACAGCATGACTTTGAAAACTCTAGCATGGGGGGTGGGAGTGGGGGATTGCTCTCCTGTGGGCTTTAGGAGTTGAATTTTCTTATTAAAATTGGGGTTCCCAGTGAAAGAAGAGAAGCCTTCTTCCTCTCTCTGCCCCCATCCCCTCTTGGAATGCCGTGAATTCAGGGCACTAATTAGAACTCCAAATGTACCCCAAGCCTCTCCCTACCCACTGCTCTGGCCTTGGTTGTGTAAACTGCAGAGGGTGTGGGCTCTGGTGGTCAGAAGGGAAGCGGGTTGAAGGAATTGTGGGAGAAATCCCCAGGCTCTATGGGAGCCTGGGCATCTGGGGACATGCTGGGCTCTGAGCTTTGCTGCTTTGGCAGCAGGAGGCCAGAAGGATGATCAATTTGCCACTCAAGGTCAGTCAAGCGTTCCTGTGTCTAGGCCTGTCTTTTCGTCCATCTTTAACCTTTCCCCTGAAGTAATGTCTGGGTCTTAGAGGGTACAAGTATCATTTTCCCTTTATTTAAGCCCTCAACCTACAGCAGGCTGAAAGTGGCCCAACTGTTTTAAAGCCAAAAAGCCCTTCTGGGATACACCCCAGACACACCAGCTTGCCAACACTTTGACTCAGGGGCTTGGGGTCCAGTTCAGGGTTGGAGGGGTTGGGGAGGTGACAGCTGTTTACACTAGGGCTGTGAGCATTTGACCCAGAGGTGGGTCCCTGGTCCTCCAAGGAGACAGCCCACCTCAAAACCAGAGCTAGCTTTGAAAGCAAGGAGAAGGCTCTGCTCAGAGGACTGCTGGGGCTGCAGTATGGAAACAGCAGAAAAAGCTGTTTGCTTCTCAAATTGCAGCTGGCTTGGGAATAAGAGCAAAACTGGGAAGTTGAGATTGGAAATAGTGTGAAAATCGGCCAGAGGCTGCGCAGGGCTGTGTTCCTAAGAGTTTTCTTGATGTGAAGCCTTATTGACAAAAGGGCTTCCACAAAGAGTGGTGACAGTGGCCTAGACAAGACATCCTTGTCAGCCCTCCACTTCTTCCCAGACTCTTCACACCCAAAGCTAGTGGATTTTTCCATTATCTCTGTGAGATAAAATTTGTTAGATCAATTTCTGTGGTGGTTTCTGTGAGAAAATACAAATCAGACTTAGAAATCTCATGACATTTTACTTTCCCTGCACTTCATTGCATTTTGATGACATATGCTTATTTACAGTTTATTTTTTGCCCCGAATGCTTGTTAGAAATTAAGTTGAGTCTTCTCCTTACTTGCCCTTGGGATCACTGGGCTAATCTGGAGTGAAGTCCTCAGGAACAGAACACAACAGCTCCCAGCTTTGGCCTGCTGCACCTAATGCCACAGCATGTGTTTTTTCAGGTACGTCTATCACAGCTCACAGTGGATGGTAGCTGGGAATACAGACCATTTGTGCATCATTCCTAGATTCTATGTTCACCCGGACTCACCCTGCTCGGGAGAGACCTGGATGCGGCAGATCATCAGCTTTGATCGCATGAAACTCACCAACAATGAGATGGATGACAAAGGCCACGTACGTGAGCACAATCCTTTACCCCGAGGAGGGAGGTGCCAAGGCTCCTGCCCACTGGTCACCCTGGAGAGGCCAGGGAGGCTTTTTGCAGATGCACATGTTGTGTTTTTTAGGAACTGTTCAAGCCCTGCACCTGTAAGTAAAGTAGCTAACCTAGGGCTCCTGAAACGTTTGTTTAGCATCTGAGATGCTGGCGACTGGGGATGGTGAATATAGGGAGTTTGAGGACAGAAGGAGACCTGTTTAAGCCAGAATGCCTGGTCTGGGAGAGTAGGAGGGAACCATTCAGGGAGTTCTCAGGCACCTTAGCCTCCTTGGCAATCACTATGATCTCTGATTGCCTTCCTGTAGTCCACGCAGTTGGATGGGCACCCAGTGTATGGTATGTGTGATGGAAGGATACAAGTGGGGGAATCTCAGACTGCATCCTGGAAATCTCCCAAACAACCTACCCTCATAGGTCCTATTGATCTTGCACATTCTCACTAGGTGCACCCCAGCTTCTGTCCTCCCCAGTCTGGCACTGTGCCAGCTACAAAAGGAAAGAGGGAAGCTCCCAAGATTAGGAGGTAGGGTATGTCAGGTTACCCACCATATCCAAGCCTATCAGTTACTGCCATGGGAACTTGTAGCAGGCTAGCAGATCCCAGTGCCACTTCTACACCAGATGGTCGCCAGTGTTTGAAGCAGGAAAAGGCCCCAATCTGGAAATGGAATCACTGCTGACTGGTGCCGCTGAGGTGTCTTTCTCTGGAAATGTTTTTAGCTCGGAGCGCCTCTGTTGGAGGCCAAATGGCACAACAAAGTAGTTACCTAAGCTTCATCATTGCCTTTTTGTGTGCACATGGTGGAGGTGGTCAGGAGAGGGAACTAGGGTTTGGGACTGAAGCCAGTTTTTCTAACAGCATTGATCATTTCTCCTCCAGATCATTCTGCAATCCATGCATAAGTACAAACCCCGAGTGCACGTGATAGAGCAAGGCAGCAGTGTTGACCTGTCCCAGATTCAGTCCTTGCCCACTGAAGGTGTTAAAACATTCTCCTTTAAAGAAACTGAGTTCACCACAGTAACGGCTTACCAAAACCAACAGGTAAACTTGGTCATGTCTCAGGCGAATGGAAATGGCTCCAGAGGGACCTTGGATTAGAGGCATAGAGGCTAACTGCCATCAATTGCATTTTCCACAATTCTAAATAAAAATCATAGTTTTATTGTATTGTCATCCATGCAAGTTTGATAATGAATTGTATAAATCTTATGGGAGAAGGCAACTCCAGAAGGTAATTTATAAAAGTAATGATTTATAAATAGGAGCTAACCATTCTAAATATGACTTGCAATATGGTTACATTTATTTAAATTGTCATATTAACGTGTTTCAACATCTCTTCTGGTGGTTGTAACCACTATAAGCAATGGCAACAGTGTTCTTACTGAAAGCAATGACTTTATCTTTCTCTCTCTATTGAATCCATAGATTACGAAACTAAAAATAGAAAGAAATCCTTTTGCTAAAGGATTTAGAGATACTGGAAGAAACAGGTAAGCAGCATAGCAATGACATCTAATATTGATGTAGCTAGCTATTTTCACAAGTTTTTTTTTTTTTTTTTTTCCTGAGATGGAGTCTCACTCTGTTGCCCAGGCTGGAGTGCAATGGCACGATCTCAGCTCACTGCAACTTTCACCTCCCTGGTTCAAGCAATTCTCCTGCCTCAGCCTCCCAAGTAGCTAGGATTACAGGCATGTGCCAACAGGCCTGGCTAATTTTTGTATTTTTAGTAGAGATGGGGTTTCACCATATTGGTCAGGCTGGTCCTGAACACCTGACCTCGTGATCTGCCCGCCTCAGCCTCCCAAAGTGCTGGGATTACAGGCGTGAGCCACTGCACCTGGTCCCCCACAAGTTTTAAGGATAAGAAAACTGACTCAGAGACTCAAAAGCTCTAAGTTTTGTAATTAGTAGGTGGTAAGAAAGGAACCCAGATGTTTTGTGTTGAAAACATTACTTCCTCCCACTCCTTTGCTACTCACTATTAAGACCTTGCTTATTTTAGAATTCTAGGTTTGACTGAATTTTATTCAGAAGTCTAGCTATATAAAAGAGAAATATTTAAAATAGTTACATCTGAAAGATATAGCAAAATAACTCAAAATCATTATTTTCAGAAATTGCATTCTGGGGATGCTGAAAGTTGACTCTCTTTTTTAGGGGTGTATTGGATGGGCTTTTAGAGACCTACCCATGGAGGCCTTCTTTCACTCTCGATTTTAAAACCTTTGGCGCAGACACACAAAGTAAGAAAACTTGGAACGTTTGTTTTATTTTTACATATCAATTAAATAACAACATCCGGAACCCTTGTACCAAATACTACACAAGGGGATATGTACATGCAAGAAAATGTGTACTTATGGGTAACTGCGTGTACATTTGCCTGAATGACGAGGTAAGAGGCATAAAGGGAGAGAAGCTGGCATGAAGGAAGAGAATAGAAATGTGATAATTGTAGACTTATTGACATATGTTAATAAGTTATCTTACACCCTGTGATTTTCAGATTTCATCTGGATTTTTCAGCCTCTCACTGTTTCACATTCTTTAGGATATGCCTGTGGTGCATTTGCAGCCTGATTTGCAAATATGTTACTATTGAAATGAATAGTTTATCTTTTATGAGGACCTTTCAGTACATGTTAAAATGACTTTCATTAAATTCATCACTGAGCTCTAATTTTCCTCTTTTTTGTTCATGGGGAAAGTAAATGTTAAAAATAATACTAAGTCTTCACAATTTAATTGCCACAAGCATTTAAAAATATTTGCAAGATATTTATCCTCAGATGGTACATTACATGACAAAATAATAATAATTAAATAATGCAGGCTTTCTGGTGGAAGGATACCTTAATTTGCTCTGATAGTTAATAATAAATAGAATAATTTTTATTTGAAAATGACATGGATTTTTTTTATCCCTTTGTCTTTACTCCATCGAAGTTGCTTGTCTTTGACCATTAATTCAAGGTTACAATTGCCAAGCAAAACCAACATTATAGTTAGGTTGAGTTTTACATGATGCCATAACAACTAACTGAAAAGGGAAGAAGTGAAGTCTAATCATTTGGTGAAATATTTCACTGGAATGGCTGTCTTGATGTGGTTTAGGGAATTGCATGAAAAAAAAAACACTTATTTTACAGTGTCGATTTAACTAATAGCATCTAGAAAGCATACTTTTAAATATCCAAGTCAAAACAAATGTGCACTAATAAAGAAAAAGTTAAAGATGATCATGAAATGATAATTTAAAGTACACAGTTTTCTTAATTATTTAACATATCCAAAATGCTCTCAAATTGCAAATAAATGAGCTACTAGTTTCTTAAATAACTTTTAAATGCTTTATTATAAAAGATATTTGCCATCTTGTTGATGAAGGTTTAGGATACGTCTACATACACAAAATAGTTAAGAAAACAGCAACACTAAAAAAGAAACAACTTGGTCAAATCCAGCCAATAACCAATTGTTTGAATTCAGACATTTACAAAAATAAGCTTTAGAGTTTAGCGTTTCCTGGACCTTATAATTATCCCTAGTTTTAGTAGATGCTAGGCAAACATAAAAAATCAGCAAACGTCATTGATATGAACACTTACATTCATCCTTATATTTCTTAACTTGCAAAATTATTTCCAACTCTTAAGATATAATGCAGTATGGAAATTGCCCCATTCATTGTTTTTGTATAAGAAAAAAAGCTAAGGCTTTTAAATATATTGCTTTCATTTATACAAGACTATTTTCATGTTCACTAATTTTTTAAATCAGTGGTCAGAGGAATTTTTTAAATCAGTGTACCTTTGGTCAGAGGAATTTAAAAAATCAACGTACATGAAATCTATACATTCTATCTATAAACTAAATCTATATAATCCCAAACAACCAATCAATTTGTGCATCTTAACTACTTATTTTAGTAACATTTTAAGGTTTTAAAATAATAAAACTAGTTTGTGTTTGTAAGATATAATTGACGCTAAGTCATAATTGGACTTCTTTGTAATTCTTTGTACAAATGTGGTTCAAGTGCCTAGCACAGTATTTGAGCAAATGAATGCTTAATACATGATACATGGTAGTAGTGCTAAAAGTAATAGTGGTAGTAGTATAGATCAGTGGTCCCCAACCTTTTTGGTACCAGGGGCCAGTTTTGTGAAAGACAATTTTTCCACGAATGGTGGGGGTTGGGAGGGGATGGTTTCGGGATGAAACTGTTCCACCTCAGATCATCAGGCATTAGATTATCATTAAAGGGCACTCAACCTAGATCCCTCACATGCACAGTTCACAATAGAGTGTGCGCTCCTGTGAGAATCTAATGCTGCCGCTGATCTGAAAGGAGGCAGAGCTCAGGCAATGAGGTAATGCTCACTGGCCTGCTGATCACCTCTTGCTGTCCAGCCTGATTCATAACAGGCTACAGACCTGTACCAGTGGGTAACCCAGGCATTAGCGATACCTAGTATAGATACTATATTCAACTTTAGTCAGAGGAATGAGCAGGTCCTGTCTCAAAGAAGCTAAAAGAACTGTGAACTCACAAGGAAAATTAATCTAAGGATGAAGCACAGATAGTGAAGGATATGATTACTAATATTGCAGGAACATCAAATGTCAAGTTCATTATTCATTGGCTGAATTGTCATTCACAGGTGGAAGCAGTGGCTCATCTCCAGTGACCTCTAGTGGAGGGGCCCCCTCTCCTTTGAACTCCTTACTTTCTCCACTTTGCTTTTCACCTATGTTTCATTTACCTACAAGCTCCCTTGGAATGCCCTGTCCAGAGGCATACCTGCCCAATGTCAACCTGCCTCTATGCTACAAGATTTGTCCAACTAATTTTTGGCAACAGCAACCTCTTGTTTTACCGGCTCCTGAAAGACTAGCAAGCAGCAACAGTTCTCAGTCTTTAGCCCCACTCATGATGGAAGTGCCTATGTTATCTTCCCTGGGGGTCACCAATTCAAAAAGCGGTTCATCTGAAGACTCCAGTGATCAGTATCTACAAGCACCTAATTCTACCAATCAAATGTTATATGGATTACAGTCACCTGGAAATATTTTTCTGCCAAACTCCATCACCCCAGAAGCACTTAGTTGCTCCTTTCATCCTTCCTATGACTTTTATAGATACAATTTCTCTATGCCATCTAGACTGATAAGTGGTTCCAACCATCTTAAAGTGAATGACGACAGTCAAGTTTCTTTTGGAGAAGGCAAATGTAATCATGTTCATTGGTATCCAGCAATTAACCATTACCTTTAGTAAGACAATAGCATTTCTAGAACAATTACATGTAAACAAATATTTTCTTTATTTGTAGCCAAAGAAATTTCAACAGTTATTGGGCTTAAAAAGCATCATTACAATACAGTATTTCTTTGTTATACATTTAAAGATTTAAAGTGCCTTATCAAATAATATTCATGAAGAGTTGTTTATAATGTCAAATGAAACCTACAGGAATCTCTGATTACAGTGGCCTTGAGCTTCAAAATGAGATATGCAATAAATATTATTTGATGATACTCCACCAGTGAAAATTGATGCTAAGTGATGGGATTTTCAATTATACTGAAGCTAGTTCACCACGTTAACTGCATTTTACACATTGACAATGACAAAAAGAAGATGGATGTAATTCTCATGAAAGCAGTGAAGCAATTTCAGTTTTAAAAATGAAGATCGGCTTTCATGTAATTATCTAGTAGTTGTAGAAGAAAATTTAATTATTTGTTTGCCTCATGCCTTTATACTTTGCTGTTGAAGAAACTACTAATCTCAATTTAAGATACAAATAAGGACACAAACTTTCAAGTATTATATTTTATTTATCTTTGTAGCCTAAAGACCATTTAATCTTGAAGGAACACAAAGATCAAATGAAAAGTAAAACACTCTAAATAAATTTGCTTTTATTTTCTTTTATTTTTGGATAATTCCTAGATAAAACTTGTTCATTTATTCCTTTAACACCTCTGGTATTTTATACACTATTAGAAAAAAACGTATTATTATAGTTTTGTAAGAAAATAAAGACATTATGATTACAAGAGGGAGAATACATTTGAATCCATAAATATGAAAATATCATTATTCTGGTATGATTTAACTCCACTCTTGTGTGTCAATCATAGTGAATTAAACTAGACAAAAGTAGAATAATCTTTTATTTAAGTTTATGAAGTTGAAAAGTTTCCTTTCACCAGGCCCTAAATTTCTGAAAATAATTATGAGGTATAACCTATATACAGCCTGTATATCTTTAAGATGAATCAGATTTTGAGTTTTATGCTAGTAACTCTAGACATTTTATTAAGCCAAGCCCTTTAATATCACAATGGAATGACTTGACTTTTGACAAACTAAGCAAACTGCTAAACTGATTTTTCTAATTTTTCCAACACATATAAAGAACAGCATATTAATTATTTATTCTGCTCAAAATGATTATTTCATCTCAAATATGCCTTATAAATGTGCCTTCCTCTATATGTATTAAAATTATCCCCACTCCTGGGAGTAGGGATAGGATGCCACATGATTGCATTCAAATTAAGTATTCTAGTCAAGATGAAGTATTATTTGTGATCTAATGTAATTAGATACTGTTGCAAAAGTCTTTAAGGAATAAAATGTATACTACCCAGGTTTATTAAACAAGAAATTAAAATAAGAAAAGACATTTTATTTTTGTCTACTCCAAAACAGGAAAGCTAAAGGCTAACTTTAATTAGTAAAATGGATTGTTACTTTTTCAGCAGAAACCCTTATATCAGATTATAAATGAAACATTCGGAGGTCTACATGGGAGAACATCAGTAATTGGCAAGAGAAAGTATTTAACTGAAAAATCAAAGAGATATCTGGGTTACTTTTTAGTGACTATTTAAAAGAACGGATTAATTTTGGAGCTTCTCCAGAATACATATACCCTATGCTGTATGTTTCAGATAATATGACTATATATTACCTATATACAACTACTAATATGTAATTACATTGGTAATTACATTGGTAATGGTGATTAACATAAAGGGGAAAACGTTTAAATACAAGAAGGTAAACATTTATGTTTAGCTACATTAAATAATATTCATAAATTGTCATTTTGTAGTTTTAATTGAAGAAGGAAACAAGGGAAAGCCTTCATGGATAATTAGACTTGGAAGAAACCTCAAGAGATTCAGTAAGTAGTCCCCTGCTTCTAAGTAAGTGACTCATTTGCAGAAATCTTCTAACAGCTCTAATTAATGCACAGTAAATATTTAGTGCCTTCAACCATTTTTTGTTTAATAAATTCTTACTCCTCAACGGATGGTGCAAAATTTGAGTAACTGGGTAAATTGATGCTATGGTTATGAAATGAAAAACAAAATAATGTGTAATTCTATCACTTTCACCTGCATCAGCTAAAAGTTAGACTTGCTTTAGAAATCTACAAAAATACAAAGCCACTCTTGTTGGACTAAGTGTGAAATAGCTGATAAAAGTGGCCAAATGATACTTAATAGACCCCCAAATCTAACAATTAAAACCTCTATTTCCATCTGATTTGACCATACATATATGGGCACCACTTCTTTTTATATTCCTCCTTAATTCAGCTCACTAAATTTATGAAATCTGATTCTTAACCTGACCTGGTTATATGACTTACCACAAATAAATATAGGGAAAGTAAGCATTTCATTAACTCTGTGAAATTTGTATGTTGAGTCAGAAAATAAATGAATGGTACTTTACCCTTGTACAGTCCCCAGTGAGGCTCAGACCTGTAGTCAGATTCTCTGGTCAGGAAGGTATTATTTTGTGGAACCATCAGTCAAGCTGAAATCAAGGACTTAAAGTATGAGCCTGGTTACAAAACACATATCTAAGTAGATAAATTCTCTATTCATTACACTTTAAAGACCAATATATAGCTTTAGGTAATATAATTTAGACATCAAACTCTAATACTATTATTTCTTTTCACCCACAGGGGGGTTAAGCCCTCTGGAAATTACATTTTAAAGTATCATATATAACCTTATGTTACATAATTTTAGAGCCTTCAAACTCACATATATCATTGCTCCTATTCATTGTGCTCGAAAATGAGGAGGTTTATTTTCCTCAGTTTATGAAGACAGATACTCATGATATTTCACTGCTATTAAACATAGGTTCTACACATACTCTGGGAATGGAATAGACCTCATTCTTTTGTGAGGTTGAAGCATGTCTGTGGGATGAAAAGAGATGAAAAATTAAATCAGCAAGTGATGATTCAGTGAACCATTCCATTATGGAAGACTTCCCTTTTATTCTCCTAATCATTTTTTATTATGCACCCTAGGAATAAGCCGTGGCTCACATAAACCAGGTGATACATATATTTTAAGTATTACTGGTGTAATGCTGAACAAGAACATGACTGAAACAAATGTTTTGTATAAGTATTTAAAATATATTTTACAATAAAATAAAAAATATATTTTACAAAGGTCTACAAACATGCTAATTACAAAATTTAGATGCTTTAAGATAATCAAATTATATGTATACAGTAGGGTAGTAGGCGGTCATTATTTCTTTACTAAATCTCACTAACAAATCTCTTCCTTATCTGAATATGCAGTTTGATAAATTCCAGATGTCACACTGTAACGTGTGTGTATACACACACACACACACATAGAATCGGTGTTTTAGTTTTGTTTTGTTATTAAATAATTTACAGTGTTCTGCTTTTTCTCCCACCCCTCCCTAATAAGAGATGCTAAAAAGAACACCTAGTCGTTACATACTTATGCTATTAGTTATAGATACTTTTGGGGAAAGGCAAATTTAAACACACGTAGAAATGTCCAACTGCATGTACTGTACTTTATGAATTGAATTGGCAGGGTGAGAGTATAATATTTTTACTCAGATTTAGAGATATGTTGCATTTGTGCTGAAAAATTTTTAATTAGCCAAAGTAACCATAATATTGTGTTATAAAGCAACAGTTTACCAATTGACTTCACTAGAATTTAGCATGTTTATTGGAGCAGTTTAAAACCAACCAAATACATAGCTTAGGCAGTTGCTTTCATATAAATGCCTTGGTATACATTTAATCTTCTTAAGTTTGGCCTGCAATTAAATGATAATTTGTATTAAAACTGTGCAAATAAACATGGGTTTGTTGACAACATAAAACAGAACAAATAGATACACAGAACACTGGAAACATATTCAGTATTAAAACTATTTACATGTGTGGTGCTGGCCAACTTTTGACATGCTGTTTCAATAAAATACTGACAGGAAAAAGACTAGAATAATTTCCTTTCAAAGTTTCAAATGTTCATGTTTACAAATTTGTACTGCATATTGATATGTATACATGCATTATAGTCAGCAGATGTACAAAAATGGTTACAGGATCTTTCTACTTAGCTGAAATGTATCTACATGTCTATTGGCTTTATCTTTTAAACTGCCTGAGAGTCACAAATTTTAAAGTTAAATAGAATAGAAAACCTTGAAATTATAGTACTTTTTGATCAAGTTATTATATTTTAATTGTTGTTAAAAGTGGCAGAATTTTGATTTTGGATTGAAGGTCACATACTTATGCACATGATAAAGTATAACGTAATATCTTGGTTGTAGAGAATGGTATAAATAGTTCAAATTTTTACTAGAACTGAAAAGTAATAAAATCATGAGTTTACAATGATTGAAGGTTAATGTATTTAAAGATTTTTTATTGAATACATAATTCAGTCTATCTTTCATTTTTATGATCATTTTTTAGAACATGTTGATGTTTTAGAACTTTACAATTATTTCAATTTTGCCTGAAATTGCGTTTTCACCATTTCCTTTGTGACATAAAGATTTTGTGACCTTTCTACCAATTACACTGTCTAATCAGACTGATTTTCTTCTTTATTGATAATTGTAAATTATAGAAAAAAATTACTTAATAAAAACACCAACAAATAGATTACTTTTTGGAAGAGTCATTGGTTTCTCAGTAAGACCCAAGTTGAAGTAGAAAAGTTACTCACTGCTGTACCTATGCTAACATTGTATTTGGTTTTCTTTAAAGGGAACCCATACACAAGCCAAACAGTGTTTGTTACATTAGTAGCTATGTTTTGCAAAATTCAGATTGGATCCTCTTCAAATCATGAGAAAGAACTGTTTAGCAAAAGTATAATGATTTTGCAACCTGTCACCATGATACTTTTCTATAATTGTATATTAATGAGGCAATGGTGACGATGGGGCGTCACATTTCAAAAGGCTCTGCAGGCTCTCGCACCACATATATATGGCATTAGGATAAACTAATCCACTGTTTGCACTCAAGTGTTGTAGCCAAATTCAGCAGGCCTCTGGGTGCGATTAATCAAGGCTGTTGCCCCTAGCCCTTGGGTAGGCAAGATACAGCGTCTTCCAGTGGGTAGTTGGGGTTGAATATCCCAGCTGATGCTAACAAAGGCCTGATGCTTCACATACACATACATATTATGCTATATTTTAGTTTAGTTATTCATATGCATGTTTCTTCTACTAGATTGTGAGTGAAGGAGGAACAGTATTTTTTATTTTTACTTATTTTTTAAGAATAATTTCACCTTTTATTTTCGATTCAGTGGGGGTACAGGTGTAGGTTTGTTATCTGGATATATTGCATAATGCTGAGGTTTGGGGTATGATTGATCCCGTCACCCACGTACTGAGCATGTTATCCAATAGCTAGTTTTTCAACTCTTGCCTCTCCCTCCTCTAGTAGTCCCCAGTGTCTATTGTTGCCATTTTTATGTCCAAAAGTACCTATTGTTTAGCTCCCACTCATAAGTGAGTAAACGTGGTATTGAGTGTTCCATTTCTATGATAATTTGCTTAGGATGATTACCTCCAGCTGCATAAATGTTGCTGCAAAGGACATGATTTCATTCTTTTTATGGCTGCATAGTATTTCATGGTGTATATGTACCACATTTTCTTTATCCAATCCAGAGTTGATGGGCAACTGGGTTGCTTCTATGTCTTTGCTATTGTGAACAGCACTGCAATGAACATATAAGTCCATGTGACTTTTTGGTAGAATGACTTGTTTTCTCTTGGATATATACCAAATAATGGGATTACTGGGTCAAATGGTAATTCTGTTTTAAGTTCTTTGAAAAATTTCCAACCTGATTTCCACAGTGGCTAAACTAATTTGCCATTCCTATCAACAGTCTACAAGTATTCCCTTTTCTCTGCAGCTTTGCCAGTAATTAAAAAAAAAAAAACTTTAGCAGAATTAAATTTAAAGTAATTTCATTGAGCAATAAAAAATTCGTGAATTGGGCAGCCTCCTGAGCCAGGGTAGGCTCAGAGACTCCAGGGCAGCCACGTGGTGGAAGAAGATTTATGGACAGAAAAAGGAAAATGACATACAGAAACAGCTGGGTTGGTTACAGCTCGAGGTTTGTCTTATTTGAACATGGTTCAAAGAGTTGGCAACATTTGATAGGCCAAAACTCGGTGATTGGCACAAGTGTAGGCTATGGTCTGTTTACAATTCCACTTGTTATAGTTCATGATGTACAGAAAAAATTTTAGGCAGAACTTAAAATGTGTAAGGAGGCAGCTTTAGGCTAATCTTGATTTAACAATTCCCCCCTTTTGGTCATCTTCTCAATTTTGAGAGATTGACCAAAACTTTAGTCATTGATGTCACTTTGATGTCATTGACCAAAACTTTACTCATTGATGTCCAAGAGTGTGAAGGGGCCCTTCTCAATTGTGAGTTTATAAACTGAGTGGGTTTTGTAAGGTAGGAGCAAAGACTGTACCTTCTTATGCTCAAACATCCCGTTTACAGGAGAAAAACAAAACCTGATATGTTTTTGCATCTATGTGTTTTCTTAAAGTCTAAGTTTGATCATGCAACATTTAACATGAGTGACTCCATTTTTCTTTGATCTGGTCTGTTGGGGCATAGTGCATGAGCTCACTCCAAAACAATGGCCTCCTATAATTTTGTTTATAAATTTCTCCTTTCTAGTTGGGTTCTCACTTAGGTAAGAGTTTGACCAAACCTTAGGGCCTTAGTGCCACCCTTAGTTACCATTATTTTCAGTTTCTGGCTTTAGCACATTATTTATAGGTTATGGTGCTCTCGTGGTTACACATTTTTTTCAGCTTTTGTTACTCCAGTTGAAGAGAGACCATTTGACATTTTAGAGATGGCTGCATGCAAACATTTAAAACTTTGGAGAGAATAGAGCGCACCAGGGAGACTACTCTGATGTCTATCAGGAGGATAATACCAAGAGTTTGGAGTATGCTTCATACCCAAGGTCCCCATAAACTAAAATCACCTAAAATTTGATAGATTAATGAATAAGCTAGATAAAAGGACTACTCGCTTAACTAAGCAGTCTTCTTGTTAATCCCCTACAACTGAATCTTTATAATTTACATTTGATATATTTCTCCATAGGCCACAAGTGCCAGCAGCTGCACAGATAATTTTGTCTAGCCAGTAAGTAATCCACAGCAATTCTAGCATAACTTTCACAAGAGAATTTAAAGTTTGTTGTGTAACCATAGCCTTTACAGTGGAATCTGCTATAGCACCTGTTGTGAGGAACACATTTCTAATTATTGACTCTTCTACTCCAACCATGGGGAAAAAAAACAAACTAACAAATGATGCCCTTTTAGGAAAGTCAAGACCTCCTGGCAATGTTCTTTTTAACCCATGATAGGGTTAATGGAAATGAACCAATGTTCTGTTTTTGACTGATTATTAGGTAATGTATGTACCATTAAAGTTTCTTACCTACATTGGGCCTTTATCTTTTATGAATTAAGATACAAAGTTATCCACATATAAGACTGGCTGCAAAATTCTTTACAAATAAAAGTATACTCAATGAGTGCACATAACACACCCCCCTTTCACTTCTATTGTTTATAGAGGCATAAGAAAGGGAGAAAATTTTCAAAGATAAGGGTCTCATGATAGTAGAGAAGTCTTGATCTATGATTCTGGAAAAAACTGTTCATATAAAGAATGTCATCTTCTTCTGGGGAGGAACTTCCCTGATTAGCTTTACCTTAAGGTTTCCAATGGGTGTACCATTCCAAGAGTGTGGAGGGGGCCTTCTCGGTAGTGAGATTATACACCCAAAGTTTAAGGTCCCAAAGTTTTGCTGTAGTGTGGATGGCAAGGGCAGTCTTTCCCTGATGTTCTTAGAAGATTCGATCTTTAGGTTTTAGATTGTGAAGGGATTAATTGTCCTCAGTAAGTGAACCATAAAATACTATTTTTTTTTTACTTGGTGAAAATACACTGTGGCATAATAATCTACTGTTATAACATCAGCTCTCTTACATGGGAAAACTTTTATACAACCAGAAAACATGCATTGAAAATGATAATTGAATGAAATCCCTCTATACATGTTTAAATGGCACATCAGGTAGTTGACTATACCTGAAGTTTTGACTCTCTTCCCAGGAATATGGGTTTGCCACACCAAACATTGGAGATAAACTATTTCAACAATATAGAAATTTATAACACCCACATATATTTATTTTGGATCATTTTATTTTTTTCCATGATGAGTCATGAAATGCAGAACATTTAATAACAAAACTTTAAGGAGTCAGGAAGGACAAGGTGGCTGTTCTGGTTGTCGATGAGTCTATGCTTAACATTGAGATTATGTCTTCTTGAGTACCAGGTGTCTCTCCAATTTAAGTGTATAGGACTGATAACTGATAGGTTATTGTAGGTTATTTGACTTAGACCATGGAGTTCATTTAAATTGCGTATTTAAACAATTTCAGTATCAGCCAATATATCAAGAAAATCTGGCAAAGTATTTTCTTGGTATTTAATTAATTTTTGTTCTTGGGTTAGCTGTTTTATAAACCAGTCTTCTCATTAAAGTTCTAGGAATTCTTACCCAGTCCAGATGATACGATTTTTAAATTACCAGAAACCTGTATTCAAGAGTGCTTTTCAGGGTCCTTTCCATTCTTTCATGAACCTCCTAGGATCTTGGGTACTTGTAAAGATTTCAGAAACTGCATCAGAATTAAGTAATTAACTGTGGAAATGACTTTAAATAGTTATAGTGAAAGACACAATTGACAAACAAATTTGGTTATTTCTGTGGTATACAATAACTTAATAACCATAATTATGATTGATAGCATATACTCAGACATATTAGAATTCCAGAAATCTCATATAATTTTGGAACATATATTAATGTTTCTCACTAAAATATAACCTGAAGGACTTTAAACTTTTTTTATTTTGACAGTGTTTCCCATGTAACTTAACATGTCAAATAATCTTGTTTACCTCTCTTTGGGATGCTGTAGGGGCCCCCTGTAGCACCCAAAAATGAGAGGTTAAAAAAGACAATGAAGCTGAAATTTGATTTGAGGAAGCCTGTTAAATATGATAAAGATTTAAAACCCTTAATATTATAAAATAGAATTTCAGGTCACCATAAGTTATTTATTTAGCCAAAATGATGACTCAAAAATTTTTAAAAAGAAAAAATCTTTACTCTATAGAGGGAACACTTAGCTTTTCAAGCAAATTGTCTCTTTTCTTTCCCCTATTTTACCTGCAGCTTATTTAAAGGCAAATAAAAATATTTTATTATTCTTTAATATTACATAAAAATCTTGTTCAAGAGAGAAAGCCAAATTTCATTATTGCATTAGTGTACCGTTAATGTTAACCCCAATTTTTAATAAAACCTTATAGACAAATCTATCCAATCTTAATTAGTTTGAGCATAAGGTGAGATTTCCATAAATATTTTATTTATAACCATTTGCAAATTTTTGTTAAAGACCAGATCAGTGCTCTAAGAAAACCCTGTTATGCTTATATTCCAATGTTCAATTTACAGAAAAACTGAGTAATACCCCTTTAAATTTAGCCAATATGTTCACACACATAATTTTTTACAAGATTACTTTTTCGCAAATCTTCTACAACTTGCTCAAACTTTTAGCTTTATTTTATCTAATTTTAAATAATTCTTTAACAGTTTAAACTAGGCAAAAATTTAAATTCCCATGCCTTCTTACAATCTTTTACTAAAAGCACATCTTACTTTTCTCACATACCTTACATGTAAAACTGTTTTTTAAGTAGTTTTAATTACATTTGACAATGTTAACTAGCAATTTTTATTCTTGGTAAAAAACGTGGTGACTTTAATTATGTACTAGTTGTGGAGCCTAGGACTCCTGACAGAAGTGCAAATAAAGTCTGACTCTTTCCAACATGACCAGGGGGTATGGCTAACTAACTCCACATATCCCCAGGCCTTACATAGAATCTAATGGCTCTGAAGCAGGTAAATTGTACAATTTTTTTTATTTCAATAGGTTTTGGGGAAACAGGTGGTGTTTGGATACAGGGATATGTTCTTTAATGGTGATTTCTGAGATATTGATGCACCCATCACTCGAGGAGTGTCCATTGTACCCAATGTATAGTCTTTTATCCGTCATCTCCTCCCACCCTTCCCCCCAATCCTGAAAGTCCATTGTATCACTCTATGCCTTTGCTTTCTTATAGCTTACCTCCAACTTATAAGTGAGAACATACAATATTTAGTTTTCCATTCCTGAGTTACTTCACTTAGAATAATGGTCTCCAACTCCATCCAGGTTGCTGTGAATGCCATTATTTTATTCATTTATATGGCTGAGTAGTATTCCACGGTGTGTGTGTGTGTGTGTGCGTGTATATATATATATATATATATATATATAGTTATGTGTATATATAGTTATGTATATATAGTTATGTATGTATATAGTTATGTGTATATATATATAGTTATATATATTTATATATAGTTTGCACTCCCACCAGCAGTGTTAAAGTGTTCCCTTTTACAACATCCACACCAACATCTATTTTTTTTTAATTGTGGCCATTCTTGCAAGAATAAGTTGTTATTGCATTGTGGTTTTGATTTGCATTGCCCTGATAATTAATAATGTTCAGCACTTTTTCATATGCTTGTTGGCCATTTGTATATCATCTTTTGAGAATTCTCTATTCATGTCCTTAGCCCACTTTTTGATGATAATTTTTTTTTCATGCTGATTTCTTTGAGTTCCTTGTATATTTTGGATATTAGTCCTTTGTCGGATGCATAGTTTATAAAGATTTTCTTCCACTCTGTGGGTTGTCTACTCTGCTGACTATTTCTGTTGTTGTGCAGAAGCTTTTTAGTTTAGTTAACTCCCATCTATTTATTTATCTTTGTTTTTGTTGCCTTTGCTTTTGGGTTCTGGGTCATGAAGTCTTTGCCTAAGCCAATGTCTAGAAGGGTTTTTCCAATGTTACCTTCTAGAATTTTTATGGTTTGAGGTCTTAGATTTAAGTCTTTGACCCATCTTGAGTTGATTTATGTATAAGGTGAGAGATGAGGATCCAGTTTCATTCTTCTACATGTGGCTTGCCAATTATCCCAGTACCATTTGTTGAATAGGGTGTCTTATAGGGTGTCTTTTCCCTCTTTATGCTTTTGTTTGCTTTGTCAAAGACGAGTTGGTTGTAAGGATTGGTTTTAATTTTCTGCTCTCTATTCTCTTCCATAGGTCTACATGCCTGTTTTTATTCCAGTATCATATGATGCTCTTTTGGTAAATATAGCCTTGTAGTATAGTTTGATGTTGGGTAATGTGTTGCCTCCAGATTTGTTCTTTTTGCTTAATCTTGATTTGGCTATGCAGGCTCTTTTTTGGTTCCATATTGTTGGGAACAGGCCTGAAATCTGGCCATAAGCTGGTCCCAAAACTGGCCATAAACAAAATATCTGCAGCGCTGTGACATGTTCGTGATGGCCATGACGCCCACGCTGAAGGTTGTCGGTGGAATGAGGGCAAGGAACACCTGGCCCACCCAGGGCTGAAAACCACTTAAAGGCGTTCCTGAACAGCAAACAATAGCATGAGCGATCTGTGTCTTAAGGACGTGTTCCTGCCTTAAGGACATATTCCTAACTAGCCAGAGTCCATCCCTTTGTTTCGGCCCATCCCTTTGTTTCCCATAAAGAATACTTTTAGTTAATCTATAATCTATAGAAATAATACTTATCATGGGCTTGCTGTCATTAAATATGTGGGTCAAACTCTGTTCAGGGCTCTCAGGTCTGAAGGCTGTGAGTCGCCTGATTTCCCACTCCACACTCTATATTTGTGTGTGTGTGTGTGTGTGTGCCTTTAATTCCTCTAGCACTGCTAGGTTAGGGTCTCCACGACCTAGCTGGTCTCGGCAAGTGGTGCCCATGCGTAGGGCTCAAACCTGGGTCGAAGGGTCACCAGAGCAATGGTTGGAGAATGTGGAACTAAACTGGAGGACACCAGAGTACCCTTAAGCAATCCCCATGGTGAGTAAGAAGGGGAGCTCGGAAGCATCAGGGTAATAATGGGACAAGTGTGGGTTCTGGTTCATTCCACCTTGGAACCTTTTCACACTAATAATGAGGAGGAAGCAAAGTATAACGAAGTAACAGAAGAGGTGACAGAGCAGGTTTGTTTGCCAGCTAAAGCTAACGCAGCAAAGGAGAAAGAGGTTCATCCCTACCCTTCTGCACCTCTTAATTATTTTGAAGAAAAGGAGTGGCCTGACCCTCCAGATCTTTCTTTTCTGGAGGACACTGGGTGAAAAGTAGTTGCCCCAGTGACTGTTCGAGCATTGCCTTGAGCGATCCCTCTCAGTTCTATTCAGTCAGGAATCCAGCAAGCTGGATGAGAGGGTGATATAGAGGCTTGGCAGTTCCCTGTTGAAATACACCTCCCAGATCAACAGAGAAATATTACAGCTATATTTCAGCCTGTTCCTTTTAAATTACTCAAAAAATTTAAGCAAGCTATTAATCAATATGGACCAGGTTCTCCTTTTGTAATGGGACTGTTAAAGAATGTTGCTGTCTCCAGTCAGATGTTGCCAGCGGGGACAGTAGGATTACTTCTAGGTAGATCTAGTTTAAATTTAAAAGGAGTGCAAGTACAAACAGGAGTCATTGATTCAGATTACAATGGGGAAACTCAAATTGTTATATCTACTTCTGTTCCCTGGAAGCAGAGCCAGGAGAGCATATAGCACAGCTTCTGATTTTGCCGTATGTGAAAATGGGGAAAAGTGAAATTAAATGAGCAGGAGGATTCGGAAGCACAAATAAACAAAGCAAAGCAGCTTATTGGGTGAATCAAATTACTGATCAATGTCCTACCTGTGAAATAACTATTCAGGGAAAGAAATTTAAAGGTTTGGTAGATACAGGAGTGGACATTTCAATCATTTCTCTACAGCACTGGTCATCCATGTGGCCAATTCAACCCACTCAATTTAACACAGTTAGAGTTGGTAAAGCCCCTGAAGTATATCAAAGTAGTTATATTTTTCATTGTGAAGGGCCTGAGGGACAACCTGGGACTATTCAACCAACTGTAACTTCTGTACCTATAAATTTATGGGGGAGAGATTTATTACAGCAATGGGGAGCAAAAGTTCTAATTCCAGAGCAATTATATAGCCCTCAGAGTCAACATATGATGCATGAAATAGGGTACGTCCCTGGTACGGGACTAGGAAAAAATTTGCAAGGTTTGAAGGAACGCTTCAAGTGGAAACACAAAGTTTCCACCAAGGTTTAAGATATCATTTTTGATAGCAGCCATTGTTAAGCCTCCAGAACCTATACCTTTAAAATGGTTAACAGATAAGCCAATTTGGATAGAACAATGGCCACTGAGTAAAGAGAAACTGGAGGTTTTACAGAACTTAGTTACTGAACAATTAGGAAAAGGACACATAGCTCCAACATTTTCCTCTTGGAATTATCCAGTTTTCGTGATTAAGAAAAAATCAGGTAAATGGAGAATGTTAACTGACTTAAGAGCCATTAATTCAGTTATACAACCTATGGGGACATTACAGCTAGGACTGCCTGTTAAACAGTCCAACAATTTTCCAGACTTATCAATTGAAAACATTAAATGACTTTCAAAAATTACTAGAGGACATTAATTGGATATGACCTGCTCTAGGCATTCCTACCTATGCTATGAGTAATCTATTTTCTATCCTTAGAGGAGATCCTAGTCTCACTAGCCATTGGCAATTAACAAAGGAGGCTGAGGCAGAGTTACAGCTGATTGAAAAGCAAGTCCATAAAGCTCAAATAAATAGAATAGATCCAGAGAAGATTCCAGATTTGCTAATTTTTTCAACTCAGCATTCTACTGGTGTTATTGTTCAAGAGCAAGGTCTTGTAGAGTGGCTTTTTCTTCCACATACTAATTCACGGACTCTAACTCCTTATGTGGATCAAATCGCTACTATGATAGGAAATGGGAGAACTCAGATTGTTAAATTACATGGATATTATCCTGGAAAAATTATTGTCCCTCTCATGAAGGCACAAATACAGCAAGCTTTTATAAATAGTCTTACTTGGCAAACCCATTTAGCTGACTTTGTGGTTATTCTCGATAATCATTTTCCTAAAATGAAACTGTTTCAATTTTTGAAATTAACTAATTGGATTCTCCCTAAAATAACTAAATTTAAACCAATTAAAGGTGCTGAAAATGTCTTCACAGATGGGTCTAGTAATGGTAAAGCTTCTTATTCTGAATTGAAAGGTAAAATTTTTCAGATGCCCTATACTTCTGCTCAGAAAGCAGAGCTTGTAGCTGTAATTGAGGTATTGACTGCTTTTAATATGACTATTAATGTGATTTCTGATTCATCATATGTGGTTCATTCCACACAATTAATTGAAAATGTTCAGTTACGATTTCATACAGATGAACAACTGATGACTTTATTTACCTAATTGCAAACAGCAGTCAGGAGTAGAATGCACCCTTTTTGCGTCCCTCACATTAGGGCTCATAAACCTCTTCCAGGACTTTTAACTGAAGGGAATCAAGTGGCTGAACACCTAGTTGCTACTGCAATATCTAATGCTAGACACTTTCACAATTTAACCCATGTTAATGCCGCTGGTCTCAAACGCAGATACAGCATTACCTGGAAAGAAGCTAAAGCTATTATCCAGCAATGTCCAACTTGCCAAATGGTGTATTCCTCATCTTTTACAGGTGGAGTTAATCCTCGAGGATTGGAAACTAATTCTCTTTGGCAAATGAATGTCACACATGTTCCCTCATTTGGGAGACTAGCTTATGTACATGTATGTGTGGACACCTTTTCTCACTTTGTCTGGGCTACATGCCAATAAGGAGAGTCTTCTTCCTGTGTTAAATGTCACCTTTTGCAGTGTTTTGTGGTAGTGGGCATTCCAACTTCTATTAAAACAAATAATGCCTCAGGCTCTACTAGTCAAGCTCTAGCTACATTTATCTCTATATGGAATATTAAACACATTAGTGGTATCCCATATAATTCTCAAGGACAAGCCATAGTGGAAAGAATGAATCTCTCCCTAAAACAGCAGTTGCAAAAGCTAAAGGGGGAAACTGGGGACTACGGGACACCCCATATGGAATTGAATGTAGCATTATTGACTTTAAATTTTTTGAGCCTGTCTAAACGCCAGATGCAATCAGCAACTGAATAACATCTACAAAAACAAGCTGCAAAGACAGAAGCAGAATAACTAGTTTGGTGGAGAGATCTGATAACAAAAAGTTGGGAAATAGGTAAATTAATAACTTGGGGTAGAGGTTATGCTTGTGTTTCTCCAGGACCAAATCAACAGCCAATTTGGGTGCCATCAAGACATCTAAAGCCTTATCATGAGCCAGATGCCAAATAAGAGACTCTGGGAGGAACCCGAGAACCCCCCAGTTGCAGCCATGTCAAGACTGATGCTGAGGAGGACCCCAACTGTCACAAGCAACACCTATTGAACACAGCCAACTACCTGCGGACAGATCAAGAAGCTGTCACAGATAGCAGAAGAAAACCTGAGGAAAGCAGGACAACCAGTCACCATGAGTAATTTAATCATAGCCATAATAGCAGTGATCACCACTGCTGTGAGTATTCCCTCAACAAGGGCTGACACAGAGAACAATTATACTTATTGGTCATATTTATCGATCTTGGCTGGCAATAATGCCTGGATGTAATCACTCTATGACACAGTTACACATGCTTTCTGATCTCAGTATTTACCATAATACATCTGCTCCTATAATTGAGGCATACTGCCCTCAAAAACCTATTTGTAAGCAGAATTGGACCTGGCCAGAAATAATGAATGTACTTGTTTGGGAAAATTGCATTGCAGAACAGGCAGAGGTGCTGTGCAACGATTCCTATGGAATCATTATTGATTGGTCCCCTAAGGGGATGTTCAGCTTGAATTGCACCTCTCAGTCTGTGTGCCATGGCCACACTATGTTCAGCTGGTCTGAACAGAATGGTCAGATGGTAGAAATGGTTAGAAATATGGCAAGAGTTCCTATTATCTGGAAACATGGTGGTATAGTGGCACCTCAACCTCAAATGATATGGCTCGCTCTAGGAGTTAAACATAAGGATTTGTGGAAACAATTAATGGCTCTTAAATAAGATCAAAATTTGGGAAATAATAAAAAAGCATCTAGAAGGACACTCCACAAACTTGTCTTTGGATATTGCAAAATTAAAAGAACAAATATTTAAAGCATCCCAGGCACACCTGACCTTAATGCCAGGAACTGGAGTGCTTGAAGGAGCTGCAGACAGAGTAGCAGCTATTAACCCATTAAAATAGATAAGGACACTTGGAGGCTCTGTGATTTCAATGATGATTGTGTTTTTAATCTGTGTTGTTTGTCTTTGTATAGTCTGTAGATGCGGATCCCGACTCCTGCAAGAAATAGTTCACCATGACAAAGCTGCCTTTGCTTTTATTGCTTTGCAAAACATAAAAGGGGGATATGTTGGGGATAAGCCCCCAAATCTGGCCATAAAGTAGCCCCAAAACTGGTCATAAACAAAATCTCTGCAGCACTGTGACATGTTTGTGATGGCCATGACGCCCACGCTGAAAGTTGTTGGCTTACTGGAATGAGGGCAAGGAACACCTGGCCCACCCAGGGCAGAAAACTGCTTAAAGGCATTCCTAAACCACAAACAATAGCATGAGCAATCTGTGCCTTAAGGACATATTTGTGCTGCAGATAACTAGCCAGAGCCCATCCCTTTGTTTCCCATAAGGAATGCTTTTAGTTAATCTATAATCTATAGAAATAATGCTTATCACTGGCTTGCTGTCAATAAATATGTGGATCAAACTCTGTTCGGGGCTCTCAGCTCTGAAGGCTGTGAGTCCCCTGATTTCCCACTTCACATTCTATATTTCTGTGTGTGTGTCTTTAATTCCTCCAGCGCCACTGGGTAAGGGTATCCACGACCAAGCTGGTCTCGGCACCATACGAATTTTAGAATTGTTTTTTCCAGTTTTGTGAAAGATGATGATGATATGTTGATGGGAATTGCATTGAATTGTAGATTGCTTTTGGAAGTATAGTCCTTTTCACAATATTGATTCTACCCATCCCTGAGCATGAGATGTGTTTCCATTTGATTGTGTCATCTATGATTTCTTTCAGCAGCATTTTCTAATTTTCCTTGTAGAGGTCTTTCACCTCCTTGTTTGGTATATTTCTAAGTATTTTATTTTTTTCACACCTATTGTAAAAGTGGCTGAGATCTTGATTTGATTCTCAGTTTGGTTCATAGCAGCTCTATTAAATTTGTGTGCATTGATTTTGTATTCTGAAACTTTACTGAATTCATTTATCAGATCTAGGAGCTTTTGGATTAGTCTTTAGGTTTTTCTACATATATGATTTTATCATTGGTGAAGAGCAATAGTTTGACTTTTCCGTACCAGTTTGGATGTCCATTATTTCTTTCACTTGTCTGATTGCTCTGGCTAGGACTTCTGGTATTATGTTGAAAAGAAGTGTTGAACATGGGCATCCTTGTCTTATTCCAGTTCTTAGGGGGAATGTTTTCAATTTTTCCATGGTCAGTATAATGTTGGCTGTGGGCTTGTCACAGATGGCATTTATTACTTTAAGGTATGCCCCTTCTATGCTGATTTTGGTGAGGGTTTTAATCATATAGCAATGCTAGATGTTGTCAAATGCTTTTTCTGCCTCTATTGAGATGATCATGGGATTTTTTGTTTTTAATTCTGTTTATGTGGTGTATCACATTTCTTGACTTGCATATGTTAAACCAACACTGCATCACTGCCATGAAAAGGCCTTGATCATGGTGGATTGTCTTTGTCATCTGCTGTTAGGTTTGGTAAGCTAGTATTTTCTTGAGGATATTTACATCTATGTTCATCAGAGATATTGGTCTGCAGTTTTGTTTTTTGTTATGTACTTTCCTGGTTTTTGTATTAGGGAAATACTGGCTTCATAGAATGATTTAGGGAGGATTCTGTCTTTCTCTATCTTTTAGAATAGTTTCAACAGAATTCATATCAATTCTTCTTTGAATGTCTGATTGAATTCAGCTGTTAATCTATCTGTCCCTGGACTTTTGTTGGCAATTTTAAAATTACCATTTCAATCTTGCTGCTTGCTATTGGTCTGTTCAGAGTTTCTGTATTTTTCTGGTTTAATCTAGGAGGGTTGTATATTTCCAGGAATTTATCCATCTCCTTCAGGTTTTTTTTTTTGCCCCTTAACTTTTATTTTAAGTTTAGGGGTATGTGTGCAGGATGTGCAGGTTTGTTACACAGGTAAATGTGTGCCATGGTGGTTTGCTGTACAGATCATTTTATCACCTAGGTATTAAGCCCAACATCCATTAGCTATTTTTTCTGATACTCTCCCTCCCCTAATCACCTGCAACAGGCCCCAGTGTGTGTTGTTTCCCCCATATGTCCATTTTTCTCATCATTCAGCTCCCACTTATAAGTGAGAACATGTGGTGTTTGGTTTTCTGTTTCTGCATTAGTTTGCTGAGAAACAAGGCTTCCAACCCCATCTATGTCCCTGCAAAATAAATGATCTTGTTCCTTTTTATGACTGCATAGTATTTCAGAGTGAATCTGGACCACATTTTCTTTATCCAGTTTACCATTCATGGGCATTTAGATTGATTCCATGTCTTTGCTATTGTGAAAAGTGCTGCAGTGAACATACATGTTCATGTATCTTTATCATAGAATAATTTATATTAATTTGGTTATATACCCAGTAATAGGATGGCTGGGTCAAATGGTATTTCTGTCTCTACATCTTTGCAGAATCACCACACTGTCCTCCACAATGGTTGAACTAATTTACATTCTCACCAACAGTGTAAAAATATTCCTTTTTCTCTGCAATCTCAACAGCGTCTGTTGTTTTTTTTACTTTTTAAAGATCGCCATTCTGACTGGCTTGAGAGGGTATCTCATTGTGTTTTTGACATGCATTTATCTAATAATCAGTGATGTTGAGCTTTCTTCATATGTTTTTGGATGAATGTATACCTTCTTTTGAAAAGTGTTTGTTCATTTTCCCAAGTTTATTGGGATTGTTTACTTTTTTCTTGTAAATTTGTTTAAATTTCTAGTATACTCTGGATATTAGACCTTTATCCGATAGGTAAATTGCAAAAATTTTCTCTCATTCTGAAGGCTGTCTGTTCACTATGATGACAGTTTATTTTGCTGTGCAGAAGCCCTTTAGTTTAGTTAGATCCTATTTGTCAATTTTTATTTTGTTGTGATTGCTTTTGGCATTTTCATCATGAAACCTTTACCAATACCTATGTCCTAAATGATATTGCCTAGATTTTCTTCTAGGGTATTAATGGTTTGGGGGTTTACATTTAAGTCTTTAATCCAACTAGAGTTAATTTTTGTATGTGGTGTAATAAATGGGTCTAGTTTTAATTTTCTGCATATAGCCAGCCAGCACACACAGCAGCATTTATTATATGGAAAGTCATTTCCTCATTGCTAATTTTTGTCAAGTTTGCTGAAGATCAGACGGTTGTAGGTGTGTGGTCTTATTTCTGGGTTCTCTATTCTGTTACATGGGTCTGTGCATCTGTTTTTGTACCAGTACCTTGCTGTTTTGGTTACTGTAGCCTTATAGTATAGTTTGAAGTCGGGGAGCATGATGCCTCTAGCTTTGTTCTTTTTGCTTAGGAATGACTTGGCTATTCAGGCTCATTTTTGGTTCCATATGAATGTTAAAATAGTTTTTTCTAATTCTGTGAAGATTGCCAGTGGTAGTTTAATGGGAATAGCATTGAATAGCCAGAAACTTTTGGGCTGAGATGGTGAGGTTTTCTAGATATAGAATCACGTCATCTACAAACAAAGATAATTTGACTTCCTCCCTTCCTATTTGAATATGCTTTCTTACTCCTGCCTGATTGCCCTGGCCAGAACTTCCAATACTATGCTGAATAGGAGTGGTGAGAGAGGGCATCCTTGTCTTGTGCTGGTTTTCGAGGGGAATTCTTTCAGTTTTTTTACCATTCAGTATGGCACTTGCTATGGGTTTGTTATATATGGCTTATGATTTTGAGATATGTTCCTTTAATACCTAGTTTATTGAGAATTTTTAACATGAAGCGATGCTGAATTTTATCAAGGGCCTTTTCTGCATCTACTGAGATAATCATGTGGTTTTTGTCTTTAGTTCTGTTTATGTGATGAATCACATTTATTGATTTGTGTATGCTTAACTAACCATGGATCCCAGGGATGAAGCCAACTTGATCGTGGTGGATAAGCTTTCTGATGTGCTGCTGGATTTGGTTTACAAGTATTTTATTGAGAATTTTTGCATCAATGTTTATGAAGGATATTGACCTGAAGGTTTTTGTTTTTGTTTTTGTTTTTGTTTTTGTTTTTATCTCTGCCAGGTTTTGGTATCAGGATGATGCTGGCCTCATAGAATGAGTTAGGGAGGAGTCCCTCATTTTGTTTTGTTTTTGGTTTGTAAGCTATTTATTACTGCCTCAATTTCAGAACTTATTATTGGTCTATTCAGAGATTCAATTTCTTCCTCATTAAGTCTTGGGAGGGTGTATGTGTCCTGGAAATTATCCATTTATCATTTCTGATTGTGTTTATTTTATTCTTTCCTCTTTTCTTCTATATTAGTCTTGTTAGCAGTCTATTTTATTATTGTTTTCAAAAAGCCAGCTCCTGGATTCATTGACTTTTTGAAGGGTTTTTGTGTCTCTTTCTCTTTCACTTCAGCTGTGATATTGTTTACTTCTTGTCTTCTGATAGCTTTGGGGTTTGTTTTCTCTTGGTTCTTTAGCTCTTTTAGTTGAGATGTTAGGTTGTTAACTCTGGATCTTTCTAGCTTTTTGATGTGATGATTTAGTGATATAAATTTACCTCTTAATATTGCTTTAGCTGTGTCCCAGAGATTCTAGTACATTGTCTTTTTGTTCTCATTAGTTTTAGAGAATGTCTTGATTTCTGCCTTAACTTCATTGTTTACTCAAGAGTCATTGAGGAGCAGGTTCTTCAATTTTCATGTAGCTGTGTGTTTTTGAGTAAATTTCTTCACCTTGAGTTTTTATTTGATTGTACTGCGGTCTGAGAACTATTCATTATGATTTCAGTTCTTTTGCATTTTCTGAGGAGTGTTTTACTTTCAATTATGTCATGAATTTTAGAGTAAGTGCTATGTGGCAATTAGAAGTACGTATATTCTGTTAAATTTGGGTGGACATTTCTGCAGATGTCTGTCACTACTATTGGTCAGTTCAAAAAATTTTTAATTCCACCTTGAGTTTATTGTTGAACCAAAGATCATTCAGAAGCAGATTATTTAATTTCTATGTATGTGCATGGTTTTGAGGGTTCCTTTGGGAGTTGATTTTCAATTTTATTCTTCAGTGGTCTGAGACAGTACTTGATACAATTTTGAGTTTCTTAAATTTATTGAGACTTGTTTTGTGGCCTATCATATGGTCTATCTTGGAGAATGCTCCATGTGCTGATGAATAGAATGTATATTCTGCAGTTCTTGGGTAGAATGTTATGTAAATATGTGTTAAGTCCATTTGATCTAGGGCATCACTTATGTCCATTGTTTCTTTGTTGACTTTCTGTCTTGATGATATGTCTAATGCTGTCAGTGGAGTACTGAAGTCCCCACTATTATTGTGCTTCTGTCTATCTCACTTCTGAGGTTTAGAAGTAATTGTTTTATAACTTTCGGAGCTCCAGTGTTAGGTGCATATATATTTAGGATTGTCATATATTCCTGTTGGACTAGTCTTTTTATCATTATATAATGTTACTCTTTGCCTTTTTTACTGTTTTTGTGTTAAAGTCTGTTTTGTCTGATATAAGAAAAGCTACTCCTGCTCACTTTTGATGTCCATTTGCATAGAATATCTTTTTCCACCTCTTTACCTTAAGTTTATGTGAGTCCTTATGTGTCAGGTGAGTCTCTAGAAGACAGCAGATAGTTGGTTGGTTAATTCTTATCCATTCTGCCATCCTGTATCTTTTAAGTGGAGCATTTAGGCTATTTCATTCAGCATTAATATTAAGATGTGAGGTACTATTTTATTCATCATGCTAGTTGTTGCCTGAATACAATGCTTTATTTTTCCATTGGGTTCTTGTTTCATAGGTCCTGTGAGATTTATGCTTTAATGAGGTTCTATTTTGGTGTATTTTGAGGTTTAAAGATTTGGATCTGCTTTCAACAGTTCTTTTAGCGCTGGCTTGGTAGTGGTGAATTCTCTCAGTATTTGTTCATGAGAAAATGATTATCTCTTTTTCATTTATGAAGCTGACTTTTGCTGGATACAAAATTCTTGGCTGATAACAGTTTTGTTTATGGAGGCTAAAATAGGACCCCAATTTCTTCTAGCTTGAGGGGTTCCTGCTTAGAAATATGCTGTTAATCTGATGAGTTTTCATTTATAGATTACCTGAAGCTCTTGCCTCACAGCTCTCAAGATTCTTTCATTTGCCTTGCCTTTAGATAACCTGATGACTATGTGCCTAGGTGATGATCATTCAGTGATGAATTTCACCAGTATTCTTGGAGCTTCTTGCATTTTGATATCTATATCTCTAGGAAGACCAAAGAACTTTTCTCAATTATCCCTTCAAATATGTTTTCCAAACGTTTAGGTTTTTCTTGTTTTTCAGAACACCAATTATTCTTACGTTTGGTAGTTTAACATAATCTTAAACTTCTTGGAGACTTTATTCTTATTCATTTTCTTCTTTGTCTTTGTAAGATTGGGTTAATTCAATAGCCTCGTATTTGAGTTCTGAAGTTCTGTTTTCTACTATTTACATTCTATTGTTGAAACTTTCCAGTATATTTTGCATTTCTATGAGTTTGTCTTTCATTTACAGAAGTTTTATGATTATTTCTTATGTATGCTGTTTATTTCTCTGGAGATTTTTTTGGCCACATCTTGCATTATATTTTAAATTTATTTAAGCTGGTTTCCACCTTTTTCTGGTGCCTCCTTGAGTAGCTTAATAATTGGCCTTCTGAATTTTTTTGTTTCTGGCAATTCAGAGATTTCTTCTTCATTTGATTTTATTTCTGGTGAGCTAGTATGATCTTATGGGGGTGTTTAAGAATGTTGTTTTGTCATATTACCAGAACTGTTTGTCTGGTTTCTTCTTATTTGGGTAGACTATGTCAGAGAAAAGACCTGGACTCAAGGGCTTCTGCTCATTATTTTGTTTCACAGGGTGATCCCTTGATTTCATACTCTCCCTCTTCCCCTAGGGATGGGGCTTTCAAGAGCTGGACTGCACTTTTTGTTATTGCTCTTCTAGGTCTAGCCACCCAGTGGAGCTACTGGGCTCCAGGCAGGTCCTTGGGAGTGTCCACAAAGAGTCCTGTGATGTGATTTGTCTTCAGGTCTGTCAGCCATAGATACCAACACCTGTTCCAATAGAGGTAGCAAGGGAGTGATGTTGAGTCTGTGAGGGTCCTTGGTTGTAGTTTTGTTTAGTGCACTGGTTTTCTCAAATGCAGTTAAGTTGTTACATGAAGAGACTCAGGACCTCTAGTTAGCCAGGATGTTACAGGAAGTAAAATTAGCTCTTGTTTTCTCATTTATTGGAGTAGAGTTGTTCATTCCTGAGTTGCTGTAGTGGTTTTAGCTGTTTGGCCTCCAGCCAGGAGGTGGCACTTTCAAGACAGCATCAGCTATGGTAGTATAGGGGGATACAAGCTTGCCCTAATGTTGCCTGGATAAGTGTTTGGGTTTCTCAGGTGCCACAGAGCTTCCAAGAGATTATGTCTTTTATCTTCAGCTACCAAGGTGAATAGAGAAAGAGTATCACGTAGGAGGCAAGGTTCTGCATGTCTGAGCTCAGACTCTTTTGGGGCAGAGCTTGCTGCAGCCACTGTGAGAATAGGGGTGTGATTCTCAGGCTAATGGTGTTATGTTCCCAAGGGGATTATATATGCCTCTGCTTTATCATACAGGTCACCAGTAAAGTGGTGAAAGTTGGCAGTGACAGGCCTCACCCAGCTCCCATGCAGCCAACAAAGCCAGTCTCACTCCAACTGTGTCCCACCAACAGCACCGAGTTTATATGTATTCAGCAAGTGAGCAAGACTGAGATCTTGCCCCAGGTTAGAAGACTGCTGCAGCTTCTGTGCTCATATCTGAACATCCCATTCACCTCCCCCCATCCCAGATTCTGCCCAGGAAAAATCATGCTCAGTCAAAATTATTACAAAATTCAGCTGGAGTTTTCCTTCTTCCTGTGGTCCTTCTCTAATTCCACTGGCAGCCCTTCCCAAGGGCCTCTGTGAGATAAAGTAAAAAATGGCTTCCTGGGGCTCAGGAGTGCCTACAGGGCTTCTTCTGCTGCTTCTTCTACTTTTATATTTTCCTCAGCTCTCTAAATTTGTTTCAGCTCTAGGTAAGGTTAAATCCTTCTCTTCTGATTTGGATTTTTAGGTTCTTCACTGAGGATGTGTGTTCAGAGACAGACTTTTCTCCTATCACACTTTGGGCACTCACAGGTTTTGGCTGTCTCATGGAGTTTGCAGCAGCAAACCACTTCTTTCAAAGGGTCTGTGAATTATTTAGATTTCCCTGGTATCTCCCTGCAGTGGTTTTTGGAGCAAAAGTTGAACAATTTTTATTTTCATAACAAAATATGTGATTCAAGCACTTATTATTTTTAAGCCAATTAATCAGAGATCTTTCATATATAAACATCACATACAGAACACATATAAATACACAGAAATGTAGAAGAAGATCTAATGGTTGTATGATTTTTTCATTTGCCAGTTTTTGAATTTCTTTTTGAAGCATGCAGTTTTTAAGGCCTAATACACAGGTACAGCTGGATTGGATCCCTAAAAATTCAGGGTCCCATTTTTATGCTGGATCCTGCATCCCCAAAAGAGAAGTGTTATAGAGCAAGACAGTGCAATGATTTTGTGTGTTTCATGGTAAAATCACTGCTTTGCATTGCAAAGCATCCCGAAGCTGATTAGTTGATTCTGTGATTAGCCCATCCCCCATGGGAGTCTAATTTCAGTGAGGGGTGGGGACATTTCCATTCTTTTTAGGTGGCCAAGAGCATGCTTCTATGATTTAAATGTGCAAAGAGCCAAGTATCCTCCACAACTGCCCTTTGCTATCCCCAAAAGTATGTTTAGCCTTAGATTCTAAGAGAGATCTGTCTGTTTTCAGTTCCTGGGGTTTCATGACTAAAACAGAGGTTTTTCCCAAAACAGGGTCAGTGGCTCCTCCTCTGTTTTTGCCACGGAGTCCCAAGCTGTTAGAGGTTATTTAAGGTTCTCTTATGTGTGCATCAAAAGTGACAAGAAGAAAAAATAAAGAAAAACAATTCAGTTGACTGAAAAGAAAAAACACTTCAAAAATACAAGATTCAAGAAGATAAAAATCCATAAATACCTTTTAAATATACCTGTAGCTTGAATATCTGTCTGCTTTTAATTAAGCTAACTTTTAACCAAATATTTATTACCAGATGCTAGCCTGAACAAACAGCAAATATGTCTGGCTTTTGAACTTCACTAAACGTATCCTTTCAGGTGCTCAGAGAAAGTAAAATTCAAGAAGTGAATTCAGAAGTTTTTCATGGAGGAGAAGAGAATCAATAAATAGCAAAAGTCACGTATGTGTTATATCATTAAAGGACTCATTTCTTTTTTTTATTATACTTTAAATTTTAGGGTACATGTGCACAACGTGCAGGTTTGTTACATATGTATACATGTGCCATGCTGGTGTGCTGCACCCATTAACTCATCATTTAACATTAGGTATATCTCTAATGTTATCCCTCCCCCTCCCCCCACCCCACAACAGGCCCCAGTGTGTGATGTTCCCCTTCCTGTGTCCATGTGTTCTCATTGTTCAATTTCCACTTATGAGTGAGAACATGCGGTGTTTGGATTTTTGTCCTTGCGATAGTTTGCTGAGAATTATGGTTTCCAGCTTCATCCATGTCCCTACAAAGGACATGAACTCATCATTTTTTATGGCTGCATAGTACTCCATGGTGTATATGTGCACATTTTCTTAATCCAGTCTATCATTGTTGAACATTTGGGTTGGTTCTAAGTCTTTGCTATTGTGAATAGTGCTGCAATAAACATACGTGTGCATGTGTCTTTATAGCAGCAGGTTTTATAACCCTTTGGGTATATACCCAGTAATGGGATGGCGGGTCAAATGGTATTTCTAGTTCTAGATCCCTGAGGAATTGAAAGGACTCATTTCTTAAGCCTGGAACTGAACCCTGAAGCCAGGCCACCATTGTGAAAAGACAAAGCCTTAGCTACTAAGCTATTGTACTGGGCAGTTTCCAATGCTCTTAAAACAAGGAATCTAGAGCAGCCAATTTTCAGCTTGCAATGGCTTTTAATTGCTCGAAATAATTTTTTGAGCTAACTATGAAATGTACTGCCAAATTTCTGTTCCCTGGATGGCAGAAACCAAGAAAAAGTATTGCTAGGTGGTTACAAGTCAAGCTCCCAAGGACATAAAAAAAAAGATGAAGAAAAAACTCACCCAGTTTTTTGTTTCAGGGACCTGCAGCAAAGTTTGTAGCTGACCAGTTTGCTGTGCTGGCTTGACAGCAAGCTTATGGAGCTCCTAGGCCCACATTGTATCCTAAGATACCCCTCTTTATGACAGAATGATACAATAAAAACAAATTCATAGCACAAAATACACCAGGTTTGCTACAGCTTAAGACTATCTTCACTTTTCTCATTAAGTTAAACTTTGCAAGAGATAGTAATTTTTGCCATTCCTACAACCAGTTTGCACAGAGAGAGAGAAAAGGGAAGGGAGAAAAAGGAAGGGAGAAAAGCATTGCTTGCAGCAGTGTAGGAAAGGCAAGGAGCTCATGGAGGCCAGAGAAAGACCCACTCATTGCAGCAACACAAAATTAAAAGTTCAAGTGGCTACTTGTCAGTCATTATAAGGGATCTATTCCAGCAGTCTCATCAGCTCTCAAATTTCTCCCCTTAGGGAGAAAGAAGCTCCCCATGTCCAGTTATACTGTACATACCTAATTCTGTCACCCACAGCCACCCAAAGAATGAAAGCCAAATTAATTTAAAGAGAATAATGGTCAATATCTCAATAGTGACAAATCCATTTTTTACTAAGAGGAACTTTACTGAGGAGATGGCCTCTAACCCAATCCCATCCTTTACCCAGGTAAAATGTACACCACTACATACACAAAGTTGGCAGTTTATTTCCTTTGGATCACAATCATAACTAAGTCAAAAAGTTAGCAGATTTAATTTTTTAATCAATCACTTAAGATTTTTATTTCCCTTTCATAAAGCCTTTAAATAAAAATATTGAAAATTCCTTTTCTGCATATCAGTAGGCATCCCTAGATGAGACTAATTTGGGAGCTCTCATTTTCAAATATACTTTAGTGCAGTGTTGTTCATTTGGAACATTCCACTGTAAGTTATGTTAGTAAGATTAGTAAAATTTTATCATTTCTGTAAGACTGTTGCTTCCACGGCCCAATACTTATGTATGTATAAGCCAGAAGGAACTCTCTTCTTCAAAAATTAAGGATTTCATTTTTACCTCAAGTATTGGCTTTGCTCTCAGGTTCCCTTGATCAACTAAGCCACAAAGGAGTAGAGGAAAAAAATTCCTGCAAATGTCTGAAAGCCAAAATGTACACCTCCTACAATATTTTCATTTACTACTAATTTCCTTCTGACCCAGTCAGATGTAAGAGGCTTCTAACTGGACCCAAGACAGTTAATTACCAGATCCAATCGAATCCTGGACTCAGTCTAGTTTCTGTCATGACTTCCAAACCCAGTTTGGATCAGAAATTTGCTTAAAGAAACTTGGAGAACTCAAAACACAAACCCATGGAACTTCAGAATCTGAGAATTTACCATGCTCCCCAGCTGCTCTGAGAGATCAAGAAACACAATGGATCTAACGGGTATCTCGGTTGGTCACTCAGTGCTCCTACGGGTCTTTAGAAGTTCTACTTCGGATCCCACTTCCGAGGCCATCTGATAAAACAAAACTTCAAGCTGAATTTAGTTTAATGGTTTAATTGAGTAATGAACAATTTGTGAATCAGGCAGCCGCCTGGGCCAGAGTAGGCTCAGAGACTCCAGCACAGCCACGTGGTGAAAGATTTATGAACAGAAAAAGAAAAGTGATGTACAGAAAATGAAAGTGAGGTAGAGAAAAGTCTGGATTGGTTACAGCTCAGCATTTGCCTTATTTGAACATAGTTCAAATAGTTGGCTACATTTGATTGGTCAAATATTGGTAATTGGCACAAGTGTAGGCTATGGTCTAGGTTACACCTCCACTTGTTATAGTTCACAATGTAAAAAAAACCCTTTAGGCCAAATATAAAATATGTGAGGAGGCAGCTTTAGGCTAAACTTGATTCAACAACAGTACCACGTTTTGTTTAATTGTTTGTTTTGTTTTTGTTTACTTTTTAATAATAGCCATTCTGACTGGTGAGAGATGTTATCTCATTGTGGTTTAGATTTGCATTTCTCAAATGGTTAGTGAGACTGAGCATTTTTCATGTTTGTGAGATGCTTGCATGTCTTCTTTTCAGAAGTGTCTGCTCATGTTCTTTGTCCACTTCTTAATGGGTTTATTTGTTTTTTGCTTGTATATTTTAAAACAATTTCTTATAGACTCTGGATATTGGACCTTTGTTGGACGTACCTTTGCAAATATTTTATTTCATTCTCTAGGCCATCTGTTTACTCTGCTGATAATCTTTTTTTTTTTTTTTTTTGCTATAAAGAAGCTTTTTGATTTTATTAGGTCCTACATGTCAAGTTTGTTTTTGTCACAATTGCTGTTGGTATCTTTGTCATGAAATCTGTCTTAAGGCCGATATCCAAAATAGTGTTTTCCAGGTTTTCTTCTAGGAATCTTATAACTCTAAAACTGAAATCTTTAATCTATCTTGAGTTATTTTTTGCATACGGTGAAAGGTATGGGCCCATTTTCATTCTTTTGCATATGACTAGCCAGCTACCCCAGAACCATATATTGAATAGAGAGCCCTTTCCTCATTTTTTTTTTTTGTTGACTTTGTCAAAGATCAGATGGCTGTAGGTGTGTGGCTTTATTTCTGGGTTGTCTGTTCTGTTCCATTGGTCTATGTGTCTGTTTTTGTACCAGTATCATGTTTTGTTTAAAGTAGTCTTTTTTTTGGCTTTTATTACTATTATTATACTTTAAGTTCTAGGGTACATGTGCACAATATGCAGGTTTGTTACATATGTATACATGTGCCATGTTGGTTTGCTGCACACATTAACTCATCATTTACATTAGGTATTTCTCCTAATGCTATCCCTCCCCCATCCCTCCACCCCATGACAGGCCCCAGTGTGTGATGTTCCCAGCCCTGTGTCCAAGTGTTCTCATTGTTCAATTCCCATCTATGAGTGAGAACATGTGGTGTTTGGTTTTCTCTTCTTGTGATAGTTTGCTCAGAATGATGGTTTCCAGCTTCATCCATGTCCCTAAAAAGGACATGAACTCATCCTTTTTTATGGCTACATAGTATTCCCTGATGTATATGTGCCATATTTTCTTAATCCAGTCTATCATTGATGGACATTTGGGCTGGTTTGAAGTCTTTGCTATTGTGAATACTGCCACAATAAACATACATCTGCATGTGTCTTTATACTAGCATGATTTATAATCCTTTGGGTATATACCTAGTAATGGGATGGCTGGGTCAAATGGTGTTTCTAGTTCTAGATCCTTGAAGAATCACCACACTGCCTTCCACAATGGTTGAACTAGTTTACACTCCCACCAACAGTGTAAAAGTGTTCCTATTTCTCCATATCCTCACCAGCATCTGTTGTTTCCTGACTTTTTAATGATCGCCATTCTAACTGGTGTGAGACGGTATCTCATTGTGGTTTTGATATGCATTTCGCTGATGGCCAGTGATGATGAGCATTTTTTCATGTCTGTTGCCTGCATAAATGTCTTCTTTTGAAAAGTGTCTGTTCATATACTTTGCTCACGTTTTGATGGGGTTGTTTGATTTTTTCTTGTGAATTTGTTTGAGTTCTTTGTAGATTCTGGTTATTAGCCCTTTGTCAGATGGGTAGATTGCAAAAATTTTCTCCCATTCTGTAGGTTGCCAGTTCACTCTGATGGTAGTTTCTTTTGCTGTGCAGAAGCTCTTTAGTTTAATTAGATGCCATTTGTCAGTTTTGGCTTTTGTTGCCACTGCTTTAGGTGTTTTCGTCATGAAGTCTTTGCCCATGCCTATGTCCTGAATGGTATTACCTAGGTTTTCTTCTAGGGTTTTTATGGTTTTAGGTCTAACATGTAAGTCTTTAATCCATCTTGAATTGATTTTTGCATAAGGTGTAAGGAAGGGATCCAGTTTCAGCTTTCTACATATGGCTAGCCAGTTTTCCCAGCACCATTTATTAAATAGGGAATCCATTCCCCATTTCTTGTTTTTGTCAGGTTTGTCAAAGATCAGATGGTTGTAGATGTGTGGTATTATTTCTGAGGGCTCTGTTCTGTTCCATTGGTCTATATCTCTGTTTTGGTACCAGTAGCATGCTGTTTTGGTTACTGTAGCCTTGTAGTATAGTTTGAAGTCAGGTAGTGTGATGCCTCCAGCTTTGTTCTTTTGGCTTAGGATTGTCTTGGCAATGCGGGCTCTTTTTGATTCCATATGAACTTTAAAGTAGTTTTTTCCAATTCTGTGAAGAAAGTCATTGGTAGCTAGATGGGGATGGCATTGAATCTATAAATTACCTTGATCAGTATGGCCATTTTCAGATATTGATTCTTCCTACCCATGAGCATGGAATATTCTTCCATTTCTTTGTGTCCTCTTTTATTTCGTTGAGCAGTGATTTGTAATTCTCCTTGAAGAGGTCCTTCATGTCCCTTGTAAGTTGGATTCCTAGGTATTTTATTCTCTTTGAAGCAAATGTGAATGGGAGTTCACTCATGATTTGGCTCTCTGTTTGTCTGTTATTGGTGTATAAGAATGCTTGTGATTTTTGCACATTGATTTTGTATCCTGAGACTTTGCTGAAGTTGCCTATCAGCTTAAGGAGATTTGGGGCTGAGACAATGAGGTTTTCTAAATATACAATCATGTCATCTGCAAACAGGGACAGTTTGACTTCCTCTTTTCCTAACTGAATGCCTTTTATTTCTTTCTCCTGCCTGATTACCCTGGCCAGAACTTCCAACAGTATGTTGAATAAGAGTGGTGAGAGAGGGCATCTCTGTCTTCTGCCAGTTTTCAAAGGGAATACTTCCAGTTTTTGCCCATTCAGTATGATATTGGCTGTGGGTTTGTCATAAATAGCTTTTATTATTTTGAGATACATCCCATCAATACCTAATTTATTCAGAGTTTTTAGCATGAAGGGCTATTGAGTTTTGTCAAAGGCCTTTTCTGCATCTATTGAGATAATCATGTGGTTTTTGTCTTTTGTTCTGTTTATATGCTGGATTACGTTTATTGATTTTCATATGTTGAACCAGCCTTGCATCCCAGAGATGAAGCCCACTTGATCATGGTGGATAAGTTTTTTGATGTGCTGCTGGATTCGGTTTGGCAGTATTTTATTGAGGATTTTTGCATCGATGTTCATCAGGGATATTGTTCTAAAATTCTTTTTTTGTTGTGTCTCTGCCAGGCTTTGGTATCATGATGATGCTGGCCTCATAAAATGAGTTAGGGAGGATTCCCTCTTTTTATATTGATTGCAATAGTTTCAGAAGGAGTGGTACCAGCTCCTCCTTGTACCTCTGGTAGAATTCGGCTGTGAATCTGTCTGGTCATGGACTTTTTTTAGTTGGTAGGCTATTAATTATTGCCTCAATTTCAGAGCCTGTTATTGTTCTATTCAGGGATTTAACTTCTTCCTGGTTTAGTCTTGGAAGGGTGTATGTGTCCAGGAATTTATCCATTTCTTCTAGATTTTCTTGTTTATTGGCATAGAGGTCTTTATAGTATTCTCTAATGGTAGTTTGTATTTCTGAGGGCTTGGTGGTGATATCCCCTTTATCATTCTTTATTTCATCTATTTCATTCTTCTCTCTTTTCTTCTTTATTAGTCTTGCTAGCGGTCTATCAATTTTGTTGATCTTTTAAAAAAAACAGCTCCTGGATTCATTGATTTTTTGAAGGGTTTTTTTGTGTCTCTATTTCCTTCAGTTCTGCTCTGATCTTAGTTATTTCTTGCCTTCTGCTAGCTTTTGAATGTGTTTGCTCTTGTTTCTCTAGTTCTTTTAATTGTGATGTTAGGGTGTCAATTTTAGATCTTTCCTGCTTTCTCTTGTGGGCATTTAGTGCTATAAATTTCCCTCTACACATTGCTTAAAATGTGTCCCAGAGATTACGGTATGTTGTGTCTTTGTTCTCATTGGTTTCAAAGAACATCTTTATTCTGCCTTCATTTTGCTATGTACCCAGTAGTCATTCAGGAGCAGGTTGTTCAGTTTCCATGTAGTTGAGAGGTTTTGAGTGAGTTTCTTAAACCTGAGTTCTAGTTTGACCGCACTGTGGTCTGAGAGACAGTTTGTTATAATTTCTGTTCATTTAGGTTCGCTGAGGAGTGCTTTTCTTCCAACTATGTGGTCAATTTTGGAATAAGTGCGATGTGGTGCTGAGAAGAATGTATATTCTGTTGATTTGGGGTGGAGAGTTCTATAGATGTCTATTAGGTCCACTTGGTGCAGAGCTGAGTTCAATTCCTGGATATCCTTGTTAACCTTCTGTCTCGTTGAACTGTCTAATGTTGACAGTGGAGTGTTAAAATCTCCCATTATTATTGTGTGAGAGTCTAAGTCTCTTCGTACATCTCTAAGGACTTGCTTTATGAATCTGGGTGCTCCTATATTGGGTGCATATATATTTAAGATAGTTAGGTCTTCTCGTTGAATTGATCCCTTTACCATTATGTAATGGCCTTCTTTGTCTCTTTTGATCTTTGTTAGTTTAAAGTCGGTTTTATCAGAGACTAGGATTGCAACCCCTGCCTTTTTTTGTTTTCCATTTGCTTGGTAGATCTTCCTCCATCCCTTTATTTTGAGCCTATATGTGTCTCTGCAGGTGAGATGGGTTTCCTGAATACAGCACACTGATGGGTCTTGACTCTTTATCCAATTTGCCAGTCTGTGTCTTTTAACTGGAGCATTTAGCCCATTTACATTTAAGGTTAATATTGTTATGTGTGAATTTAATCCTGTCATTATGATGTTAGCTGGCTATTTTGCTCGTTAGTTGATGCAGTTTCTTCCCAGCATTGATTGTCTTTAAATTTTGGCATGTTTTTGCAGTGGCTGGTACTGGTTGTTCCTTTCCATGTTTAGTGCTTCCTTCGGGAGCTCTTGTAGGGCAGGTGTGGTGGTGAAATAATCTCTCAGCATTTGCTTGTCTGTGAAGTATTTTATTTCTCCTTCACTTATGAAGCTTAGTTTGGCTGGATATGAAATTCTGCATTGAAAATTCTTTTGTTTAATAATGTTGAATATTGGCCCCCACTCTCTTCTGGCTTGTATGGTTTCTGCTGAGAGATCCACTGTTTGTCTAATAGCCTTCCCTTTGGGGGTAACCAACCTTTCTCTCTGGCTGCCCTTAACATTTTTTCCTTCTTTGCTACCTTGGTGAATCTGACAATTATGTGTCTTGGAGTTGCTCTTCTCGAGGAGTATCTTTGTAGTGTTCTCTGTATTTCCTGAATTTGACCTGCCTTGCTAGGTTGGGGAAGTTCTCCTGGATAATATCCTGCTGTGATTTCCAGCTTTGTTCCATTCTCCCCTTCACTTTCAGGTACACCAATCAGATGTAGATTTGGTCTTTTCACATAGTCCCATATTTCTTGGAGGCTTTGTTCATTTCTTTTTACTCTTTTTTTTCTCTAAACTTCTCTTCTTGCTTCGTTTCAGTAATTTGATCTTCAATCACTGATACCCTTTCTTCCACTTGATCGAGTTGGCTACTGAAGCTTGTGCATGTGTCACATAGTTCTCATGCCATGGTTTTCAGCTCCATCAGGTCATTTAAGGTCTTCTCTACACTGTTTATTCTAGTTAGCCATTCATCTAATCTTTGTTCAAGGTTTTTAGCTTCCTTGCGATGGGTTTGAACTTCTTTCTTTATCTTGGAGAAGTTTGTTATTACCGACTGTCTGAAGCCTACTTCTGTCACCTCATCAAATTCTTTCTCCATCCTGTTTTGTTCCATTGCTGGTGAGGAGCTGTGATCCTTTGGAGGAGAAGTGGCACTCTGGTTTTTAGAATTTTCAACTTTTCTGCTCTGGTTTCTCCCCATCTTTGTGGTTTTATCTTCCTTTGGTCTTTGATGATGGTGACCTACAGTTGTCGGTTTTAGTGTGGATGTCCTTTTTGTTGATGTTGATGCTATTCCTTTCTGATTATTAGTTTTCCTTCTAACAGTCAGGTCCCTCAGCTGCAGGTCTGTTGGAGTTTTCTGGAGGTCCACTCCAGGTTCTGTTTGCCTCGGTATCAACAACAGAGGCTGCAGAACAGCAAATTTTGTGGAACAGCAAATATTGCTGCCTGATCCTGCCTCTGGAAGCTTCGTCTCAGAGGGGCACCCAGCTGTATGAGGTGTCAGTCGGCCCCTACTGGGAGGTGTCTCCAAGTTAGGCTACATGGGGTCAGGGACCCACTTGAGGAGGCAGTCTGTCCATTCTCAGAGCTCAAACACCATGCTGGGAGAACCACTGCTCTCCTCACAGCTGCCAGACAGGGACGTTTAAGTCTGCAGAAGTTTCTGCTACCTTTTATTCAGCTATGCCCTGCCCCCAGAGGTGGAGTCTGCAGAGGCAGGTGGGCCTCCTTGAGCTGTGGTGGGCTCCACACATTTCAATCTTGCCAGCTGCTTTGCTTAACTACTCAAGCCTCAGCAATGGGGGACACCCCTCCCCCAGCCAGGCTTGCCACCTTGCAGTTCCATCTCAGACTAGCAGTGAGCAAGGCTCCGTGGGTGTGGGACTCGCTGAGCCAGGCACGGGATATAATCTCCTGGTGTGCCATTTGCTAAGACCGTTGGAAAAGCACAGTGTTTAGGTGGCAGTGTCCTGATTTTCCTGGTACAGTCTGTCATGGCTTCCCTTGGCTAGGAAAGGGAAATCCCCTTACCCCTTGCACTTCCCGGGTGAGGTGATGCCCTGACCTGTTTCGGCTTGCCCTCAGTGGGCTCCTTCCACTTTCTGACCAGTCCCAATGAGATGAACTATGTACCTCATTTGTAAATGCAGAAATCACCCATCTTCTGTGTCGATCAGTCTGAGAGCTGTAGACTTGAGCTGTTCATTTTGGCCATCTTGGAATGGATCATTAATGTAGTCTTATAGCATAGTTTCAAGTCAGGTAATGGGATGTCTCCAGCTTTATTCTTTCTGCTTAGGATTGCTTTGGATGTTTGTGCTACTTTCTGGTTCCATATAAATTTTGGAAATTTTTTCTAGTTCTGTGAAAAATGACATTTATAGCTTGATAGAAATAGCATTAAATCTGTAGATTTCTTTGGGTGGTATGGCCACTTTAACAATATGGATTCTTCCAATCCATGAGCATAAAGTTGTTTTGCATTTGTTTGTGTTTCCTATGATTTCTTTCAGTAGCATTTTGTAGTTCTTCTTATAGAGATCTTTCAACTCTTTGGTTAGATAGTCTTAGGTAATTTATTTTACTTTATTGGTGGCAATTGTAAATGGGATTATGTTCTTGATTTGGCTCTCAGTTTGAACTTTATTGCTGTATATACATACAACTGATGGTTATATATTGATTTTGTATTCTGAAACTTTACAGAAGTCATTTGTCAGTTCCAGGGGGCATTTGTAGTAGTCATTATGGTTTTCTAGGTATAGAATCATAAGATCCACTAAGAAACATAGTTTGACTTCTTTTTCAATTTTGGTGTATTTTATTTCTTTCCCTTGCCTGATTGCTTTGGCTTGCATTTCTAGTATTATGTTTAATAGGAGTGGTAAGTGTGGGCATCTTCTTATTTTTCCAGTTTTCAAGGAGAATGCTTCCAGTTTTTGTCCATTCAGTATGAAGGTGGCTGTGGGTTTTTCATAGATGGCTCTTTTTTGTTATAAGTTTTATTTTAGGTTCAGGGGTACATGTGCAGGTTTGTTTTATAGGTAAACTGCATGTCATGGTGGTTTAGTGTACAGTTTATTTAATCACAAAGGGAATAAGCATAGTATCCAATAGGTAGTTTTTTTCTGATCCTCTCTTTTCTCCAACTCTCCACCCTCAAATAGAACTTGGTGTCTGTTGTTCCCCTTTTTGTGTTCATGTGTTTAATTGTTTAGCTCCCATTTATAAGTGGGAACATGCAGTATGAAATTTTCTTTTCCTGCATTAGTTTGCTTAAGGTAATGACTTCCAGCTCCATCCATGTTGCTGCAAAGGACATGATCTCATTCCATGTAGTATTCCATGGTGTATAAGTACCAAATTTTCTTTATTCAGTCTATCATTGATGGGCATTTACGTTGATTCCATATCTTTGCTATTGTAAACAGTGCTGCAAAGAACATATGCCTGCATGTGTTTTTAGATCAATTTATATTCTTTTGGGCATATATTGAATAATGATATTGCTGGGTCAAATGATAATTCTGTTTCAAGCTGTTTGAGAAACTGCCACTCTGCTTTCCACAACACCTGGACTAATTTACATTTCACACAGCAGTTTTTTTTTTTTCTCTGCAACCTCACCAGCTTCTGTTATCTTTTGACATTTTCACAATAGTCATTCTGACTGGTGTGAGATGATATCCGATGGTGGCTTTGATTTACATTTCTCTAATGATTAGTGATGTTGACCATTTTTCATATGCTTATTGGCCATATTTTTGTCTTCTTTTGAATAGTGCCTGTTCATGTCCTTTGCCCACTTTTTAATTTTTTTGTTTTCCTTGTTGATTTAAATTTCTTATAGACTCTGGATATGAGACCTTTGTCAGATGTATAGTTTGCAAGTATTTTCTACCAATTTGTAGGTTTTCTGTTTACCCTGTTAATAGTTTATTTTGCTATGTAGAAGCACTTTAATTAGGTCTCACTTATAAATTTTTGTTTTTATTGCAAATTTTTTGGTGTATTCGTAGTGAAATCTTTGCCAGGTCATATTTCTAGAATATTTCCTAGGTTATCTTTCAGTGCATTATAGTTTTAGGCTTTACATTTAAACCTTTAATCAATCTTGAGTTGATTTTTGCATGTGGTGTAAGGAAGGGTTTCACTTTCAGTCTTCTGCATATGGCCAGCTAGTTATGCCAGCACCTTTAGAAAGAGAGAGTCATTTCTTCATTGCTTGTTTTTGTCAGATTTGTCAAAGATCAGATGGTTGTAGATGTGTGGTATTATTTCTGGGCTCTCTATTTTGTTCCATTGGTCTATGAGTTTGTTTTTGTACCAGTACCACACTGTTTTGGTTACTGTAGCCTTACAATATAGTTTAAAATTATGTAACATGATGTCTTCAGCTTTGTTCTTATTTCTTAGGATTGCTTGGTTATTCAAGCTCTCTTTTGTTTCCATACAAATTTTAATATAGTTTTTCTAATTCTGCAAATAATGTCATTGGTAGTTTGGTAGGAATAGCATTGAATCTGTAGATTGTTTTGGGTAATATTACTATTTTAACAGTATTGATTATTTCTATCCATGAGCATGGAATTTTTGTTTGTTTGTTTGTATCACTGATTTCTTTGTGCAGTGTTTTGTAATTCTCATTGTGCAGATCTTTTGCCTCTTTAGTTAGCTGTATTCCTAGGTATTATATTCCTTTTGTGGTTATGTAAATAGGATTGCATTCCTGATTTGGCTTTCAGCTTGGCTGTTGGTGTATGGGAATTCTACTGATTTTTGTACATTGATTTTTGTATCCTGAAACTTTGCTAAAGTTGTTTATCATACAAAGGAGCATTTGGAATGAGACTATGGGGCCTTATAGACATAGAATCATGTGTAGAAACATGGATATTTTGACTTCCTCTTTTTCTCTTTGTGTGGCATTTATTTATTTATATTGCTTGATTGCTCTTGGCAGGACTGTCAGTGCTATGTTGACTAGGAGTAATGTTAAAGGGCATCCCTGTCTTGTTCTAGTTTTCAAGGGAAATGCTTTCAGCTTTTGCCCATTCAGCAAGATGTTGTCTCTGGGTTTGCCATAGATGGCACTTATTATTTTGAAGTATGTTCCTTCTATGCCTAGTTTACTGAGGGCTTTTAACATGAAGTGATGTTAAATTTTATTTAAAACATTTTCTGCATTTATTGAGATGGTTATGAGGGTTTTGTGTTTAGTTTGGTTTATGTGATAAACCCCATTTATTGATTTATGTATGTTGAACCAATCTTGTATCCTGGGGATGAAGCCAACATGATTGTGGTGGATAAGGTTTTTGGGTGCTGCTGGATTCAGTTTGCCAGTATTTTATTGCGAACTTTTGCACTGAGGTTCATCAAGGATATTATCCTGAAGTTTTCTTTCTTTGTTGTGTCTCTGACAGGTTTTGGTATCAGAATGATTTTGGTCTCAGTAGAATGGGTTACAGAGGAGTACTTTCTTCTCAAATTTTGAAATAATTTCAGTAGAAATAGTACCATCTCTTCTTTATACATATGGTAGAATTTAGCTGTGAATCTGAATTGTCTTGGGCTTTTTCTTGTTGGTAGGTGTTTTATTATCATTTCAATCGTGGAACTCATTATTAGTCTGTTTGGAGACTTAACTTCCTCCTGGGTCAGTCTTAGAAAGCGTTTGTTTCCAGGAATTTATCAATTTCTTCCAGATTTTCTAGCTTGTGTGCATAGATGTTTTCACAGACATTCATGTCCATTGGTAATGTCCTCTTTGTCATTTTGAATTGTGTTCATTTGGATCTTCTCTCTTTTTTATTAGTCTAGCTAGAGGAGAGGTCTATGTTATTTATTTTATCAAAATACCAACTCTTGGATTTGTTGATATTCTGAATAGATTTTCATGTCTCAATTTCTTTAAATTCAGCTCTGATTTTGATTTATCTCCTTCTTTTAGATTTGGTTTGTTCTTATTTCTCTAGTTGTGATGTTAGCTTGTTAATTTGAAATCTGTCTAATTTTTTGATATGGATATTTAGTGCTATAAACTTCCCTCTTAACACTACTTTAGCTGTGTCCCGGAGAGTCTCATATTTTGTATATTTGTTGTCACTAATTTCAGAGAACTTCTTGATTTTTTCCTTAATGTTATTATTTACCCCAAAGTCTTTCAGGATAATGTTGTTTAATCTCTATGTTATTGTATGATTTTGAGCAATTTTATTAGCATTGATTTCTATTTTTATTGCACTGTGGTTTAAGAGTGTGGCTGGTATATTTTTATTTTATTTTCTGAGTATTATTTTACGTCTGATTGTGTATTAGTCTGTTCTCACACTGCTATGAAGAAATACCAGAGACTGGGTAATTTATAAAGAAAAGAGGTTTAATTGACTTACAGTTCCACATGGCTGGGCAGACCTCAGGAAATGTACAATCATGGCATAAGGCACATCTTCACAGGGTGGCAGGAGAGAGAATGAGTGACCAGTGAAGGGGAAAGCCCCTTATAAAACTATCAGATCTCATGAGAACTGACTTGCTATCAGGATAATAGGATAGGGGAAACTGCCCCTGTGATTCATTTATCTCCATCTGGTCTCTCCCACAACACATGGGGATTATGGGAACTAAAATTCAAGATGAAATTTGGGTAAGGACACAGCCAAACCATATGATTCCACCTTTGGCTCCTCTCAAATCTTATGGCCTCACAATTCAAAACACAATCCTACCATGTTTATAGTCCCCTAAAGTCTTAACTCATTCCAGCATTAACTTAAAAGTCCAAATCCAAAGTTTCATCTGAGACAAGGCAAATCTCTTATGAGCATGTAAAATCAAAAGCAACTTAATTACTTCCTAGATACAGTGGGACATTCTGTAAATACAACCATTCCGAGTGGGAGAAATTGGCCAAAACAAAGGGGCTACAGGCTCCATGGAAGTCCAAAATCTCATAGGGTAGTCAATAAGCCTTAAGGTTCCAATATGATCTCCTTTGACTCCATGTCTCACATCCAGGTCATGCTAATGCAAGAGGTGGGCTCCCATGGCCTTGGACGGCTCCACAACTGTGGCTTTTGCAGGATTCAGCCCCCCTTCTGTCTGTTTTCATGGGCTGGCATTGAGTATCTGTGGCTTTTCCAGGTGTATGGTTCAAGCTGCTGTGGATCTACCATTCTGGGGTCTGGAGGATGGCGGCTCTCTTCTCACAGCTCCACTAGGCAGTGGCCAAGTGGGGACTCTGTGTACAGGCTCTGACACCACATTATTTTTTCCACATTGCCCTAGCAGACATTTTCCATGAGGGCTCTGCCCCTGCAGTAATCTTCTGCCTGGACATCCAAGCATTGCCATACATCCTCTGAAATCTAGGCAGAGGATGTCCCCCTTTAGTCACAGTTGTCCCCCTTTAGTCACAGTTGGGACACAGGGTGGCAAGTCTGGAGGCTGCACAGAGCAGCAGGGTGGGGGGCTGGACCTGGCCCGTGAAATCATTTTTCCCTCTTAGGCCTCTGGGCTTGTGATGGGAGGGGCTTCCCTGAAGGTCCCTGACATACCCTGAAGACACTTCCCCCATTGTCTTTGTGAATAACATTCAGCTCCTCATTACTTAGGTAAATTTCTGCAGCAGGCTTGATTTTCTCCCTAGAATTTTGTTTTTTAGAAATATTTCCCTCTAGATACCCTAAATAACCTCTCAGGTTCATTGCCCCACCTATCTCTGGGGCAGGGGCAAAATGCCACCAGTCCCTTTGCATAACAAGAGGGACCTTTACTCCAGATTCCAACAGGTTCCCTATCTCCATCTGAGACCACCTCAACCTGGACTCCTTTGCACAGGTCATTATCAGTATTTTGGCCAAAGCCACACAACAGTTCTCTAAGAAGTTCCAAACTTTCCCAAATCTTCCTATCTTCTTCCGTGCCCTCCAAAACGCTCAAATCTCTGCCTGTTACCCAGTTCCAAAGTTGCTTTCACATTTTTGGGTATTTTTATAGTAGCACCTTATTCTCTGTGGTACCAGTTTACTGTATTAGTTCATTCTAATGCTGCTATAAAGAAATACCCAAGACTGGGTAATTTACAAAGAAAGGAGGTTTAATTGAATCACAGGTTTAATTGAATCACAGTTCTGCACAGCTGTACAGGATACTTACAATCATGGCAGAAGGCACCTCGTCACAGGGTAACAGGTGAGAGAATTAGTGTCCAGCAAAGGTGGAAGCCCATTATAAAACTATCAGATCTTATGAAGATGAGTTTTGGGTGGGGACACAGTCAAACTATATCAGATTGTTTGCCCAATTTTAAAGTATGTTTCATGTGGTGATGAGAAGAATGTATATTCTGTTGTTTTGGGGTGGAGAGTTCTGTAGATGTATATTAGGTTCATTTGTTTAAATGTTGAGTTCAGGTTCTCAATTTCTTTGTTATTTTCCTGCCTTAATCATCTGCCTAATAATGTCAGTGGGGTGTTTAAGTCTCCAAATATTATTGTGTTTGAAGTGAAGTCTCTCCAAAGATCTCTAAGGACTTGCTTTATGAATCTTGGTGCTCCTATGTTGGATACATATATATTTATGATAGCTAAGTATTTTTGTTGAATTGAACCCTTTACCATTATGTAAGGTCCTTCCTTTTTTTTTTATCTTGTTGGTTTAAAGTCTGTTTTGTCTGAAATTAGGATGCCAACTCCTGCTTTTGCCTGTTTTCCATTTGTTTGGTGGTTTTTCTCCATGCCTTTATTTTGAGCCTATTTGTGTCATTGAACGTGAGATGGTTCTCTTGAAGACTGCATACCACTGGATCTTGCTCCTTCATCCAGCTTGCCATTCTGTGCTTTTTTTTGGGGTCCTTTAGCCCATTTACATTCAAAGTTTGTATTGATGTATGTAGGTTTGATTCTGTCAACATGCTGCTAGCTGGTTATTATGCAGACTTGTTTGTGTGGTTGCTTTATAGAGTCACTCCTCCATGTACTTAAGTGTGCTTTGTAGTGGCTGGTAACGACATTTCTTTTCTATAGCTATCACTCCTTTTAGGACCTCTCCTAAGGCAGGTCTGGTGCTAACAAATTTCCTCCACATTTGCTTGTCTGAAAAGGATTTTATTTCTCCCTTACTTATGAAGCTTTGTTTGGCTGAATATAAAATTATTGATTTAAATTTTTTTAAAGAATGTTGAATATAAGTCTCCAAACTCTTCTTGCTTATAGAGTTTCTTATGAAAAGTCTGCTGTTAGCCTTTTGTAGGTGACCTGCCTCTTCTTTATAGCTGCCTTTAACATTTTTATTTAATATTGACAATGGATGATCTGATAACTATATGTCTTGGGGATGGTCTTCTTGTGTAATATCTCACAGGGATTTTCTGTATTTCCTAAATTTGAATGCTGGCCTCTCTAGCCAGGTTGGGGAATTCTTAATGAATTATCCTGAAATATGTTTTTCGAGTTACTTCCTTTCACCACATTTCTTTCAGGGAGACCAATTAGTTGTAGATTTGGTCTCTATACATAAGTCCATATTTCTCAGATGTTTTGTTCATGTGTTTTCTTTGTTTAACTGATATGTTTTAGGGAATATGTCTCAGGGCTCTAGAGTCCTTCCTCAGTTTGGTATATTCTGATGTTAATAATTGTGATTACATTATAAAATTACCTTAGTGTGTTTTTCAGCTCTATCAAACGTGATTCCTTTCAAAATGACTATCATTTAATCTATCAGCTCCTGTATGGTTTTACGGCAATTCTTAGATTCCTTGGACCTGGTGTTGACTTTCTCATGAATCTTGATGATCTTCAATCCTATTCCTATTCTGAATTCTATTTCTGTCCTTTCAGCCTTGTTAAGAATTCTTGCTGGGGATCCAGTGCAGTCATTTGGAGGAAAAAGGCCACTCTGGCATTTTGAGTAGCCAGAGTTCCTGTGCTGGTTCTTTCTCAACTCTGTGGGCTGGTGTTCAATAGAGTATAGTCAGTAGACTTCTTTCTCTATGATTTCAGAAGACTCAGGCTTTGTGCAGGGGCTTTATTTATAGCTGAACTCCTCTCTCTGGTTTTACAGTGGGGTACATGGACAGGAAGAATCAATATCGTGAAAATGGCCATACTGCCCAAGGTAATTTATAGATTCAATGCCATCCCCATCAAGCTACCAATGACTTTCATCACAGAATTGGAAAAAACTACTTTAAAGTTCATATGGAACCAAAAAAGAGCATGCATTGCCAAGACGATCCTAAGCAAAAAGAACAAAGCTGGAGGCATCACACTACCTGACTTCAAACTATACTACAAGGCTACAGTAACCAAAACAGCATGCTACTGGTACCAAAACAGAGATATAGACCAATGGAACAGAACAGAGCCCTCAGAAATAATACCACACATCTACAACCATCTCATCTTTGACAAACCTGACAAAAACTAGAAATGGGGAAAGGATTCTCTATTTAATAAATGGTGATGGGAAAACTGGCTAGCCATATGTAGAAAGCTGAAACTGGATCCCTTCCTTACACCTTGTACAAAAATCAATTCAAGATGGATTAAAGACTTACATGTTAGACCTAAAACCATAAAAACCCTAGAAGAAAACCTAGGCAATACCATTCAGGACATAGGCATGGGCAAGGACTTCATGTCTAAAACACCTAAAGTAGTGGCAACAAAAGCCAAAACTGACAAATGGCATCTAATTAAACTCAAGAGCTTCTGCACAGCAAAAGAAACTACCATCAGAGTTAACAGGCAACCTACAGAATGGGAGAAAATGTTTGCAATCTACTCATCTGACAAAGGGCTAATATCCAGAATCTACAATGAACTCAAATTTACAAGAAAAAAACAAAGAACCCCATCAAAAAGTGGGCAAAGGATATGAACAGACACTTCTCAAAAGAAGACATTTATGCAGCCAAAACACACATGAAAAGAAGCTCATCATCACTGGCCATCAGAGAAATGCAAATCAAAACCACAATGAGATACCATCTCACATCTATTAGAATGGCGATCATTAAAAAGTCAGGAAACAACAGGTGCTGGAGAGGATGTGGAGAAATAGGAACACTTTTACACTGTTGGTGGGACTGCAAACTAGTTCAACCATTGTGGAAGACAGTGTGGCGATTCCTCAAGGATCTAGAACTAGAAATACCATTTGACCCAGCCATCCCATTACTGAGTATATACCCAAAGGATTATAAATCATGCTGCTATAAAGACACATGCACACATGTGTTTATTGCAGCACTATTCACAATAGCAAATACTTGGAACCAACCCAAATGTCCAACAATGATAGACTGGATTAAGAAAATGTGGCACATATACACCATGGAATACTATGCAGCCATAAAAAAGGATGAGTTCATGTCCTTTTTAGGGACATGGATGAAGCTGGAAACCATCATTCTCAGCAAACTATTGCAAGGACAAAAAACCAAACACCACATGTTCTCACTCATAGGTGGGAATTGAACAATGAGAACACTTGGACACAGGAAGAGGAACATCACACACCGGGGCCTGTCATGGGGTTGGGAGAAGGGGGAGGGATAGCATTAGGAGATACACCTAATGTAAATGATGAGTTAATGGGTGCAGCACACCGACATGGCACATGTATACATATGTAACAAACCTGCATGTTGTGAACATGTACCCTAGAACTTAAAGTATAATTAAAAAAAAAAAAAAGAAAAGTATTTTGGGTGTTGGAATTTTGTTCTGTAATTCAGTAGGTGGCACTTAAGCAAAATGACCAATAGTTAAGCTCTTGCTGAGTCATTTTCCTCCTCTGTATTTCCTCACAATTGCCCCTGTGCTCTGCCTCAGTGCTTGCTGCAGATCTTGGCTTGGCACTCTTGGGCTGCACATCGAATCTCTCAGGTGAGTGCTGGCTTTATGTTACCTCCCCAGCTTGGAGGCATTGAAGGAAGGGACCTCAGCTGTGGTTGGGGTAAAGGACCTTTCACTGATTTATTGGGGCTCCACCCCAGAGAGATGTAAAGCCACTATCAATCAGTGAGATAAGCCTGTGATGGGGCACCTGTGCTATGGGCCCAAATCATTGTGGGGCCTGCCTAATAATGAGCAGGGTTGTGGGTGAGTCACAGGGGAGACATACTGGCCTCTTATCCTTAGAAAAATGGCAGCTTGATGGAGGTGTGGTTAAAGAACTCAAGGTCTTTGTTCCTTCTCCTGTCCAAGAGCATAAGGGATGTACCACTGCAGTGGCAGTGGGATAGAGGCTTTCAGCTGCCTCTGGGTGCTCCACCTCAGAGAAATGTGGAGCCACTGCTACTGGGAATGTTCAGCCAGGGGTTAAGGCAGCTGTACTACTAGACTGAGCTAAGGGCTCCACTTGTTGAATAGCAGACCATCATGGGCTCTCAGGGAGGCTAGACTGAGCTCCTGTCTGTATGGTGATAGTCATGTGCTAGGAGTATGGCTGAAGCCCTCAGGCACTTTGTTTCTTCCTGACAGAGGGCAGCTGGGGTAGAACCACTGCTGTAGCAGTGGCAGAGGGGCTGTCAGTTGTTTCTTGGAGCCTCTTCCTAGGAAAACTCCAAGGCACTACCAGAGAGTAGTCTCAGCCATTGGTGGTGTTGCTAATCTGCAGTCCTGAGCCAGGGGCCCTCCCTGGTGAAGAGTGGGGAGTGGGGAATCACAGGGAAGAGGGCCAGGATTCCTCTCCATATGGCAGCTGTAGTGTGCTGGAGGTGCCAGTATAGCACTAAGTCCTAAGTTCCTTCCCCAGCACAAGGGTGGTTAGGGAAGTACCACTGCAGCTGCAATGGCAGGGAGGTGGGTTATCGCTGGAATTTTCTACTCACAGAACTTCAGATTCACCTCCAATTGAAGTGTTCATGTGGGAGTAGGGTAGTTATGTTGGAGTCCCAGGTTGGAAGCGGGAGGGCCTGCCCAGTAAGAAGTGGGATTGGGGGCCCATGTGGAAAAAGGCCTGGCTGCTTTTTCCATAGGGTGGCTGCTCAGAGCTGCCACCGGCTTGGAGCCCCAGCAGATGGTAGCTGAAGTCTTGAGTTGGGAAGTCCTTCCCAGGGAGGAGAAGCCAGATGGGGGACCTGCATATAAACTGGCTGCTTTTCCATGGGGCGGCTGTATTGTACTGGGGAACCACACCCATTCCTAGTCACTTTGCACCCTCCGGAGCCTGAAGGCAACAGTGATGAGCGCTGTGAGACAGCCAAAAAAGGAAGCTTGCTTCTCCCTGTGGGAGCTCTGTCCCAGGGAAGTGCAGAGGTGCTACCAGCCAGAGAGCCCCAGCAGTGGGGGGCTCAAGTCCTGGTTCAGGAAGTCCCACCTAGAGAGGAAAAGTGGGATCAGGGGCCCTGCTGCTCAGCCTTCTGGATTTGGTCCCTTTCCTGGGGGCATGTGAGGGAGCCTGACCTCCCCCATTGACAGAGCTGCAGCCAGTAATACTGGGATGCCCGAGGAGCCAAAGTTCCTGAGACCCCATGTGTTCCTCAGTGGTGGCTCTGCCCAAAATCCCCGCAGCTCTGTGTGACAATGTGAAGGCCCAGGTGGGATGGTCTCATGAAGGAATCTCCTGAGCCCAGGGTTGAAAGGTCTGCAGAAAAAGTATGGTTCCCCTGGGACTCTCACTCATTCACTCACCATTTCTCCACAATGGGAAAGCCTTGCCTGGCTCTGTGCCACTCCCTGGTGGGTGGTCCTCCTGTCTCACTCCTCTCCATTCTCTGTGGCTCAAGCTCTTTCCATGATAAATCTCAATTTGTCCACCTGGATGTTTCTGTTGAAGTTCTGGTATTTACTCACTACTTTTTCTTCTATCCATGAGAGTGGTGTGCAGTAGTTGCTTCTAGTCCTAGATGGCTCTTATTATTTTGAGGTACGCTTCTTTGATGCCTATTTTGTTGAGGGTTTTTGTCATAAAGGTTTTTGTCATGTTGAATTTTATCAAAAGCTTTTTCACATCTATTGAGACGGTCATGTAGTTTTTGTTTTTTATCCTGTTTATGTGGTGAATCACAATTATTGATTTGCATATGTTGAAACTATGTTGCATTCCAGGAATAAAGCTCACTTGATCTTGGTGAATTAACTTTTTAATATGCTGCTGGATTTGATTTGCTAGTATTTTGTTCAGAACTTTTGCATCCAAGTTCATCAGGGATACTGCTCTGATGTTTTCTTTTTACATTGCGTCTCCGCCAGATTTTGGCATCAGAATGATTCTGGCTTCATAGAATGGATTAGGGGTGAGTCCCTCCTCAATTTTTTGGAGTAGTTTTAATACGATGGGTGCCAGCTCTTCTCTGTATGTCTGGTAAAATTTGACTCTGAATCCATCTGGCCCAGAGCTTTTTTGATTGGTAGGTTTTTTGTTACTGATTCAATTTCAGACCCCTTTATCAGTCTCTTCCAAGTTTCAGTTTCTTCCTGGTTCAGTTTGGAAGATTGTGTATTTTCAGGAATTTATCCATTTCTTCTAGATTATCTAGTTTGTATGCATAGAGGTGTTTCATAATAGTCTCTGAGGATTTTTGTTGTTTCTGTAAGTTGGCTGTATGGCTACGACCTCAAAAGTAATTGCAACAAAAATAAAAATTGACAGGTTGGACCTAATTAAATGAAATTGTTTATGCACAGCAAAAGAAACTATCAAGGGAGTAAACAGATGCCCTACAGATAGGAGAAAATATTCACAAATGATGTATCTGACAAAAGCCTAATATCAAGAATCTATAGGGAACTTAAATCAACATACAGAAAACAAATAACCCCATTAAAAAGTGGGCAAAGAACATGAACAGACACTTCTCAAGAGAAGATATTCAAGTGTTCAACAAACATGAACAAATGCTCATCATCACTAATCATCAGAGAAATGGAAATCAAAATACAATGAGATATTATCTCACACTAGTCAGAACAGCTATTATTAAAAAGCTTAACTACAACAGATGTTGGTGAGGCTGCTGAGAAAGCGGAACACTTATACTTTGTTAATGGGAATGTAAATTAGCCATTGTGGAGAGCAGTTTGGAGATGTCTCAGGGAATTAAGAGTTAAGCTACCATTCAATCCAGCAATTCTATTACTGGGTGTATAATCAAAGGAAAATAAGTTGACCTACAAAAAAGACACATATACATGTATGTTTATCACAGTGCTATTCACAATAGCAAAGACATGAAATTAACCCAGATGCTTGTCAAGTCTGGATTGGATAAAGAAAATGTAGTATATATACATCATGGTATACTATGTAGCCATAAAAGAATGAAATTATGTCTTTTGCAGTAATATGGATCCAGTTGTAGGCCATTATCCTAAGTGAACTAATACAGGAAGAGAAAACCACATATTTCATATTCTCACTTTATAAGTGGTAGCTAAACTTTAAGTCTGCATGGACATAAACATGAAAACAATAGACACTAGGGAATACAAGAAGAGAATGGGAGGAAGGGGCCAAAGGCTAAAAAATTACCCATTGGGTACTATACTCACTATCTGGGAAAAGGATTCAATTATACTGTAAACCTCAATATTACACAATATACCTTTGTAAGAAACCTGCATATGTAACCCCTGAACTTATAATAAAATTTGGAAAGAAAAGAGTCAAAAACAAAAATGCATTTATGTATTGTTTAATATTTAACATATGTAGTTACCTGTACTCATGCTCATTACTTTTTTGTGTGTGGATTTGACTTATTGTCTAGGGTCCTTTTGTTTCCACCTGAAGGACTCCCTTTAGTATTTTTTATAAGACAGTTCTTATTTGTATATATTTATTTACATTTGTGATAGAGTCTCACTCTGTTGCCCAGGCTGGAGTGCAGTGGTGCCATCTCGGCTCAAGCCTCAACCTCTCAAATAGTGGGGATTACAGGCTTCTGCCACCATGCCCAACTAATTTTTGTATTTTTAATAGAGATGGGGTTTTACCTTGTTGGCCAGGCTGGTCTCTAACTCCTGACCTCAAGTGGTCTGCTCACCTTGGCCTCCCAGATTGCTCAGATTACAGGCATGAGCCACCGTGCCTGGCCAAGACAGTTCTATCAGTGACAATTTGTCTCAGTTTTTATCTGAGAATGTCTTTATTTTTCCTTCGTTCTTTACTTTCTCTTTCATTTTCTCCTTCATTATTGAAGGACAATTTTGCTGGGTATAGAATCATTGATAATATTCTGCTTTCTGCACTTTGAATATATCATTATGTAGTGTTTTGGTTTCCATGGTTTCTGATGACAAGTCTTTAATTGTATTGAAGAGTCCTTCTATATGATGAGTTGATTCTCTATTTATGCTTTCAAAATTCACTATTTGTCTTCCAAAAAATTGACTATGATGTTTCCAGCTGTGGACTTTTTTGTGCTTATCCTATCTGGAGTTCATTGAGCATCTTGGATGTGTACACTAATATGTGTGTTTTATTTTTCTCTTTCTAATTTGGAGAGTTTTGAACCATTACTTTTTTTTCTTTTCTTTTGGAGACAGAGTCTCACTCTGTCACCAAGGCTGGAGTGCAGTGGCGCAATCTCAGCTCACTGCAACCTCCGCCTCCCGGATTCAAGCAATTCTCCTCCCTCAGCCTCCTGAGTAGCTGGGACTACAGGTGCACGCTGCCATGTACGGCTAATTTTTTTTTTTTTTTTGTATTTTTAGTAGAGACAGGGTTTAACCATGTTGTCCAGGCTGGTCTCGAACTCCTGAGCTCAGGCAATCCACCAGCCTCAGCCTCCCAAAGTGCTAGGATTACAGGTGTGAGCCACCATGCCCGGCCGAGCCATTACTTTTTAAGATATTATTTTGCTCCTACACTGTCTGCTCTCTTTTAGGAACTTTCATCATGCATTTGTTGATACAATTGATGGTATTCCACAGGTGTCTAAGGCTCTGTTCATTTCTCTTCCCTCTTTTTTCTTTATGTTTCTTAGACTGTATATTCTCAACTGTTCTGTCTTTGAGTTTTCCAATTCTTTCTTCTGCCAGTTAAATCTTCTGTTCAAACTCTAGTAATTTTTTCATTTTAGTTATTTTGCTTTTTAACTCCATAATTTCTCTTTAGTTCTTTTTTATGATTACAGTAGCTGATTTAAAGTCTTTATCTAGTAAATTCCACATGTGGGCCACCTCAGAAGCAGTTTCTTTTGATCTCTTTTTTACTTGTGTATTGGCCATAATTTCCCATTTCTTCTAATTTATTTGGCATAATTTTTTGTTAATTACTGAACATTTTAAATAACATAATGTGGCAACTCTGATGATCAGATTCCCTCTCTCTCCCAGGGCTTGTTGTTTCTGTTAGCTGTTGTTTTTGTTTCTTCTGCAGCTCCTGCACCTGTTTTAGTGATTTTTAGACTAATTTATAAAGTCCATATTTTTTGTTTGTACTGCCATTGAAGTCTCTGCGCAGTTAAGTTAGTGATCAGCTAATGATGGACAATTATTTCCTTAAATCCTTTGAACTATTAAGTCTCTCAGCCTTTGCAAATGGCTCTGTGTGTGTGTCAGGGCATGCCTTCAATATCCCAGCAGGCAGTTTACATCTCTGCCTTAAATTTCACTTTATCTTTGCATAGAGCCTCAAGGTTAGCCATAGGTAGGAGGTTAGGGCCTTCTCAGGTCTTTCCTGGACACAAACAGAGAAGTAGGCATATATGTGGTCTTTTAGAGTCCTAGAAATATGTTGGAGCTTTTCAAAGCCTACTATGAATATCTCATTCCCCAGATTTTTAAAAAAAATTTCGGTTAGTGTTTTGTTAGGTCCAACTGGTATTGATATCTTAGCATATGTGGTGTTAAGAAATGGTCACTGATTACTTTTGGTAAATGCTCTATAAAAAGGGCTCTTCCCAAAGAGTCAGCTCTGAGTCAGTACAAATAAAGATAAGCCCTGAGAGTATAGCTTTGTAGGGAAGTGCCTTTTATATCAAAAAGTAATGACAATCTGGGGATTACACTTTTGAGGAGCTCCAAACCTGTTCTTCTTCAGTGTGTGTTAGGCTGTTAATTTTCACAGATATGATATTGGGAGACTATTATAAAGTTTAACCCTGAACTTGGGAGGAGGATGGGAATAAGGCAGAGTAAATAATATCTCAAACCTTGCTGTTCAGACATATATTTAGCTATATTTCCACAATAATACTCCTTTGATTATTGCAAGTATTGGGTTATTTTCTGGCATTCTGAAAAAGTTGATTTTGACAAATTTTTGCATGGCTACTTGCTGCTTTATGAAGGAGTGGATTTTTGGAAGTCTTTATTATTATAAAATTGTTTCTTATTGTGATCTTTTAAACCAAAAAAAAAATTCTATTTTGGTTATATAATTTTCTCACTATCCATTTTTCAGTTCTGTTGTTTTCTATATTTGTGGTTTAAAGGTATTTGTTCTTTTAAACTGTTGAATTTATAAACATAATATTTTTTTGAGATGGAGTCTCTCTCTGTTGCCCAGGCTGGAGTACAGTGGCATGATCTCGGCTCACTGCAACCTCTGCCTCCCAGGTTCAAGCAATTCTCCTGCCTCAGTTTCCCAAGTAGCTGGGACTACAGGTGCACATCACCACACCTGGCTGATTTTTGTATTTTTAGCAGAGATGGGGTTTCACCATGTTGGCCAGGCTGGTCTTGAACTCCTGACCTTGTGATCCGCCCGCCTCGGCCTCCCAAAGGCTGAGATTACAGGTGTGAGCCTCTGCTCCCAGCCCATAATGCTAAATCTATGTTCTTCAGGGGCTTGACTCACCTTCCACCCATTGAGGCCTTTGTCCATCATTGCTGACACAGGGCGGCATTATGTGCAATTGGGACACAGTGTTTGTCCCAGTTCACAGATCTGTGGAGCATGGTGGCCAAAGGCCATCATTCTTTTTGCCTCATCCAACTTGCTGCTAAATTAGCCAGAACAGCATCAGATCCAGTGGGGTGAGAGGTGTCTTCTGTTTGTTCACAGTAAAGGAACACCCTTGCATAGGGTCCTGGGCCAAGTTGGTGAATGGCTGAGGGAAGGGATCAAAGTCTCAGTATGACAGGGTTCCTTGCTTTTCCTGCTCCCCACCCGCAGATCACTGCTGGGCTTGAGGCCAGTATGGCTTCAGAGGTGTGAAGCAGGATCCACTTCTTACTGTGGTATCTACCAGAATTCAATGGTATCATTTTTATCTGTATCTATCACAGAATCTATCACACAGTTGGCACTCAATCAATGCTCATTGAGTATATTAATAAATAAATGAGAAAAAAATGAAGTGACACATAGTATGATTTGCACTGAAACCAGTCTCTGCTAGGAATGCTTCTTGATAGTAGGCTGTACAACTGTTCAATTGAGCAAGACTCAAAGACTATTGCACACAGTAATGCAACAAAATGAATGCCATATCTGGGTTTACACGTTCTTGTCACACCTTCCTTGTTTTGCATTGAAAGTTACAGATTAAAGTGCTTCGTGTTGCAAAAGCAGCAGAATTCCTCAACTAATGGGTGTGTTGTGAATGGGTTACAGGTATACTGAGATTTGTGTTATTGCAGTACTCAGAGGAGTAGGCCAGGACCTGAAGTGGCCAGAGTCCTTCGGGATAAAGTGACAAGAGTCCTAGAACCATTTACCCCTGATTTGAGAAATCCTTTTTGCTTGCCTCAGTGTGTCATATAAGCATTATAATCATCATTATAATCATTCTCTACATGTGTCATGATGTGAAGTGTTTTATAAATCCTGGACCACTGTAATTTTGACTATGTTTGTCAACATTTTAATATGTAATGTTCAATCAAGTCCTGTTCTGTGGGTCCCTAACTGCATTAGATGTTTTATACTCACTTATGAAATACATTAGAGAACTTTCCTGGGAATTTTATTTTGCTGTTTCATCTGTATTTTTCATTCAAGAAAATATGTGAAACTGTTTATAATCTTAGCGCAGGTTTCAACACTGAATAGTTACTCTCCCATTAGGAAACATTTTGCCATGGCTGAAATGCCTTTTCTTTAAAACAGGCTGGGAACCTGTAATTAAAATACAAGGTTACTCTCTTTTTAGAGTAAAACCATAACCACTAGCATTTACTGCTGCTATAATTCAGAGAAGGAGAAATACTCATTTCTTTCTTGTGGTTAAGATGTTTGAGTCTAGAGTGAAATCTGTCACCTGTGATAACTAGTTAATCGATTTATTTATTTAAAAATATTCCTTAAGTGTCTCCTCTATGCAATGATATGTTTAGAGGGAGAATAAATGCATAAGGCATGGCTCCTGTTCTCAAGTTTATAGTCTATATGAAGAGGCAAGACTTAAACACATTAGAAAAGACAGTTTAAAATACAGTTATGTGCTGCATAATGACGTTTCAGTCAGTGACAGACTGAATATATGATGGTGGTCCCATAAGATTATAATGGAGCTAAAAAGTTCCTATTGCCTATTGATGTCATTACCTTTTCTATGTTTAGATATGGTTATATATACATATGCCATTGTATTACACAATTATCTATACTATTGAGTGCATTCACATGCTGTACAGGTTTACAGCCTAGGAGCAACAGGCTATACCATATAGCCTAGATGTGTAGGAGGCTATACCATCCAGGTTTGTGTAAGTATATTCTATGATGGTCTCACAATGATGAAATAACCTAACAATTCATTTCTCAGGATGTATCCTCATTGTTAAATGACCCATGCCTGTAATGTTAAAACACTGTGAATTATTTTCTATGGTGACATAAATATAACACCAATGGACTCTCACGGTGATTATAAGTGATAGGAGTTTATAGGAGCACCAGTATGTTATGTAACTTCCTGGAGTTGATGGGAGCTAAACTGGTCTTTGACGAAGGGGGGAAGAAAAATAGTAATAGCAAAAACTTGCCTAGCAGCTACTCTGTGCCAGACACATTCTTCAGCATTTTATATATTAACTCATTTAATAATCTCAATTGCCCTATGAAGCAGCACACTTACTAACTTGCCCAAGATAATACAAGAAGTAAGTGGCAGATTGAAGCATGGGCAGTATGTATTTTAAACGCCATACTATACTACCCCTTGGTAGATACTCTACAATTGGAGAAGCACATGAACAAAGACACAGTAGAATGTACTAAGAACAATGGATAGACTAAAGAGGGGCTGAGTTTGATCAGAAAGGTGATATGCTCCAGGTGACTCTGCTCCTGCTTCTGTTGAGGTAAAGATTCTCACCTTTCCACCCACAATTAATCTCTATGCCCTGGGGTTGCCAATGTTCAGCAAGTCCCCAGGACTAAAGCTTATCAACACGGTTTTTTTCAATTATCCATTGTCTCTAACTCTGTAATTTTTTAGGTTAAAATGCAGTCTATTTAGATGTGTAGTGTTTGCCTTTCTCCATTGTGTGCCAGTGCTCAATTTAATGTTACATTGGCTTTTCAATTTAGTTGCTTAAACTATGGCTGCTGACAAATCCCTTAGTTTGGACCATGGCTGTCAAAGTCCTAATATAGTGATAGGTGGGCTAAGATTGAATCTTTGAGGGGCTTGCCTACTGGAAAAAGCCTCGGAGGTTTAATCTGGCTCCCAATTGGGATCCACTAGAAGTGTCTGCAGAAGAGAACACTGCAACAATAATGGTATTTCATGTGGCAATTGTGTTCAAGATGGATTAAATAATAACATTCAATTTTCAGAAATGAGCAACTACAGATTTCACTTTGCTATGCTTGTTGCTGCTTTTAGGCAATGAAACTGTCTATTCAAAAAAAATTCCAAGGTTGTTTTTATTTTTTCTTTTAAACTTAGCTATATACATGTTTTATGGTCCTAACATTAAATTGAGCACTTTTTTTTTTTTTTTTTTTTTGAAACAGAGTCTTGCTCTGTCACCCAGGCTGGAGTGCAGTGGCGCGATCTTGGCTCACTGCAACCTCTGCCTCCCAGGTTCAATCAATTCTCCTGCCAAACTGAGGACATTTTCTAGGCTATCTGCCACAAAGATAATTCTGTCTGTCTCTGACATTTTTAGGAGGTCTCAATCCATTGTATAGAATACACAAGATTTCAACTTTCGATGAAATATTTTAAATTTCAAGCTGTCATCAAAATTTGAGAGAGAAAAATGTTAGCAATTCCGCAGAGGAACTCTACATTTCATTAAGTTGACTTTAAGATGTTTGAATGACTTCCCATTATAAACTTCCTTTCAAGACAAGATGCTGTTCAAACTCTCCTGATATATTCGTTAATTGAATAAGTCTTTGGCAGTTTGTGTTTTTACCTTTCATTTTTTCTTTATTTTACTTTGCAAATCTAAGAAAACTAATTCTCATAACAATTATATTTTCCTTTAGGATGCTTGCTTCATATCTTCTCCAGTTAAAGTTAAGTGGAGAAATGTGTCTGGTCTTCTATAATTTCCTCAATGTCAAAACTAACAGCTGTAAGCACTTAACAACTAATCAGCTCAATTCAGCTCACCTGTGTGAATGATCCTTAACCATTACATATGCTTTGAGTCAAAGGTTTTTTTTCTCTTTTTTTTGTAAAAGATTTAAAGTTAAAGGGAAAGGAACTAATGAACTTGCAAGATTACTTTAAGCTATTTTGAGTCTGATCCAAAGTACAAGATGTTTTAAAAGATACATTTACCTTTACATATATTTTTAACACCAAATGGCCACCATATAATTGGCAATAAAAGTCACAAACAACAAATATGTCACTGATGACCAGAACGTTAGATATGGATCCCAAAGGATAAATTGATAAGATATTAGCTAACAGATATGAAAACTCTGGGTGTAAGCCTTTTAAAAATTACAACACTTTATTAAAATTATTCAATATGGCAGCAATTATCATATAGCTAAAGTAAATACAAAGTTTTTTAGAAGAAGAGCAAGTCTTTAATATTCACAATGATGCTAATATTGTGTAAGGCCTGGATATAAAAATTGAGGAGATTACAGAACAAAACAGTTTCTTTATCATTACTATTTTTAAAAGAAGCATGACTTTTCAAGGCATCAGGCAGCTAGGGAGGTGAGGTGGAAAAAGTATGATTTGCTTCTATTATTACTTGGATCCTTTAATATTAATCCACACCACTTCTGTGTAGAAGCTTACATCTAATAAAAATATCCTCACTCAGCCAATAAAAGCTTGATTTTCCAAGAGCAATGAGGAGCTATCAACTATGAAATACATATTACATATAGTCATCTAGTTGTAATAAGAATGTACTCATTTTTTTAAAAAACTTTTAAGTTCAGGGGGTACATTTGCAGGTTTGTTACATAGGTAAATGTGTGTCATGGGGGATTCGTTGAACAGATTATTTTGTCACTCAGGTGATAAAAGTACTAGTATCCATTAGTTATTTTTCCTGATCCTCTCTGTCCTCCCACCCTCTACCTTCAATAGGCCCCAGCGTGTGTTGTTCCCCTCTACGTGTCCGTGTGTTACTTTCAAAACACCTTTACAATAGAAGGGCTTCAGCCTTTTCCCATACATTCATTGATTCTCCTTTATAATAGCCATACTTAAGTGAGCCCAATTGTTTGCTCACTAACATCAAAGAAGAAAGCCTAGGGTGCTTTACCCAGAGTTAGTAAGAGTCAGGAGTAGACTGCCTGGCTTGATCTAAGGTTCAGGTGCTCCCAATTAAATTTAAGGACCAGAACTGATGCAAGGTTAATGACATCTCTGCCTTGGTCAAAAAGAGCTCTATTCTTTCACCTCTTCTGAATTTTCAGATTGAATTTTGATAGGCATAAATGTTGGGTACTTTTTAGAACCAAAGAAAAAATATCTTCAGTAAGACAGTTGATTGAATTTCAAAGAACTACAGGATATCAGAGTTATAATGGCTCTTTATATGTTATTTAGCAAAGTCCATCCATCATTGTACAGATGGGAAACTGAGGTAAACTGTGGTGGACAGAATAACCCAAGGTTTCTTGGAATAGCTTTCTGCTGAATGCCACTGGAGATTTTCCAGGAATGCCGTCTTCCTAGGTCTATAATACAGTGCCTTTCCCAGCGAATTACCTACAAAATTATGACATTTCTCATACTACTTGGCTGCTGAATTAATTTGAGGATTCTGTAAAAGGCATTTTGTCTTCAGAAAAAAAAAAGACTCAAACAAATGCTATGTTCAGGCACACTAGCTTTTGGCATCAATTCAGCACCTGTTTAACTGTGGTGTTCATTCCAAGCATTTGATTTTCAAAAAGATAAAAAGTGAAAGACTCCTATTGCCTTAGCAACCATATTAACCAAATGAACTGCTCACTCTCTCTTGACCTTGCTCTTCAAATCATTCCAATATAGGAAAATATATAACTGCTTCATGATATTTTCCAGAAGGCAGTTTCTTAGATTTGCTATTTAAGAAAATGTTACATGGCATAATGTATTTATGGAATTTTACCGAAGTGTTTGAAATATCATTGTTACCAATGGACAAAAGTAAAGGTTTTCCATAACAAGAATAAAGTGGCTAAAGCTTTTGTATTATAGCCAGAAGAACTGGGCTCAAGCATGGCCCTGCTTTAACAAACAATGAGCAAGTCACTTAACTAAGATTTTCAGTTTCCTCAGCTGTAAAATAGGACAGTAACTATTTCAGAGGGAGTTCAGCAGGATTATATGAGATAATATACATCAATGTGCTTACTAAACTATAAAAAACTGTAGAAATGTAATGTATTAATATTACTCAGCATCTTCTAAAAATGTTTTAATTTTAATTTTTGTGGGTAGTAATACATAGTAGGTGTATATACTTACAGGGTACATGAGATGTTTTGATACAGGCATGTAATGAAAAATAATCACATCGTGGCGAGTAGGGTATTCATCCCCTCAAGCATTTATCTTTTATGTTACAAACAATCCAATTACACAATGGAGTACTATTCCGCCATAAAAAAATCCTGTCATTTGCAACAGCATGTACGGAACTGGAGATCATTATGTTAAGTGGAATAAACCAGGCACAGAAAGACAAACACCACATGTTCTCACCTATTTGTGAGATCTAAAAATCAAAACACAAAACAATTGAACTCATGTACACAGAGAGTAGAAGGATGGCTATCAGGGGCTAAGAAGGGTAGTGGGGAGGCTGGCAAGGGAAGTAGGGATGGTTAATGGGTTCAAAAAATAGCATCTTTATTCTTAAGGCAATGATTTTCAATAATTCAAAATGATAAGAAGACAAATGCATATGATTACATCAGTTGATTTAACTCTCTTTCAGCAGATAGATTGTGACCAAGTATATTGCTCAAAAAACGTCATGGGTCCACTGACTTATTAAGAATTTACATGGGCTTATTAAGCAGAAGTTTAATTGCATATGACCTATTTACGTTTTTATACATAAAACCATTTTCTTCATTTTGGGAAAGAAAGTATATGCTTTGCGACTCAGTTGGCAAAGTCGTATTTATATATTTCTTATGTTTCAATGATGCCTTCATACTCATCCTCATCTCTGTAAGAGAACACACACACACACACACACACACACATTCGTACATATATAGTCATGCACCAAATAACCAGTGTATGTATGAACCACATGTGTGACAGTGGTCCCATAGGATTATAATGGAGCAGAAAAATTCCTATTGCCTAATGACATCATAGTTGATGTAATGTCCCAGTGTTCAAACACACTGCCCATGTGTTTGCAATGATGCTAGTATAAACAAACCTACTGCACTAACAGTCATATAATAGCATAGCACATACAATTATGTATACCACATAATACTCGATAATGATAAGAAATTACAAGGTCGGCGGGGTGCGGTGGCTCATGCCTGTAAGCCTAGCACTTTGGGAGACCGAGGCAGGCAGATCATGAGGTCAAGAGATCGAGACCATCCTGGCCAACATGGTGAAACCCCGTCTCTACTAAAAATACAAAAATTAGCTGGGTGTGGTGGCGTGCTGTAGTCTCAGCTACTTGTGAGGCTGAGGCAGGAGAATCTCTTGAACCCAGGAAGCAGAGGCTGCAGTGAGTCAAGATCATGCCACTGCTTTCCAGCCTGGCGACAGAGCAAGACTCTGTCTCAAAAAATAAATAAATAAATAAATAAATAAAATTTAAAAAAAGATACTACAAGGTCATTGGTTTATGTGTTTACTACATTTTTATCATTATTTTAGAGTGTGTTCCTACTTATTAAAAACTTTAACTATAAAGCATCTTCAGCAGGTCCTTCAGGAGGTATTCCAGAAGAAGGCATTGTTATAGGAGACAATAGTTCTATGTGTGTTGTTGCCCCTGAAGACCCAATGAGAGAAGATGTAGCACTGGAAGACAGTAATATTGATGATCCTGACCCTGTGCAGGCTTAAGCTAATGTGTGTATTTGTGTCTTCGTTTTTAACAACATAGTTTAAAAAGTAAAAAAAAATAAAAATAGAAAAAAACTTATTGAGAAAGAATATAAATAAAATATATTGTGCAGCTGTACAGTGTGTTTGTGTTTTAAAAAATGTGTTATTACAAAAAGACCAAAAAGTTAAAGAAAATAAAAGTTTTATCAAGTAAAAAAGTTACAGTAAACTAAGGTTAATTTTTCATTGAAGAAAAACATGTTTTTAGTAAATTTCATACAGCCTAAGTATGCACAGTGTTTATAGAGTCTATGGTAGTGTACAGTAAAGTCATTGGCCTTCACATTCACTCACCACTCATTCTGACTCACCCAGAGCAACTTTCCAGTCCTGCAAGCGTCATTCATGGTAAGTGCTCTATACAGGTGTGTCATTATTTAAATCCTTTATACCATATTTTTACTGTACCTTTTCTATGTTTAGATACATTTAGATATAAAAATATTTACCATTGTGTTACAGTTGCCTACAGTATTAGGTACAGTCATATGCTGTACAGGTTTGTAGCCTAAGAACCATAGGCTATACCATATAGCCCAGGTGTATAGAAGGCTATACCTATACCATCTAGGTTTTTGTAAGTACACCATATGATGTTCTAAAAATGACAAAATTGTCTAACAACATGTTTCTTAGAATGTATTCCTGTGGTTAAGCAACACATGACTGTATATGTATATATATTCTTTCATAAATCACTTTGTCAGTAACCAAGAAGTATCCTGATGTATGTGTGTACCACTCCACAGAGATAATGGTACTCCCAGACTTCAGTGGCAGAATCCATCCTATCACTTAACACAATCCTGGTATACTTTCTTATGGCGGAAAATTTTTTTCTATATAAACAGCTATTGGATATACCATCTTAACAAGCTTGTTGGGACTGTCCAAGACATGTGAACAGTGAGTTGTATATATGCTCCAGGGCTTCGTATGTGGAAGGTGGAATTAAAAATGAAAAAACAGGCCGGGTGCGGTGGCTCAAGCCTGTAATCCCAGCACTTTGGGAGGCCGAGGCAGGCGGATCACAATGTCAGGAGATCGAGACCATCCTGGCTAACACGGTGAAACCCCGTCTCTACTAAAAATACAAAAACTTAGCCGGGCATGGTGGTGGGGGCCTGTAGTCCCAGCTACTCGGGAGGCTGAGGCAGGAGAATGGCGTGAACCCGGGAGGCGGAGCTTGCAGTGAGCTGAGATCCCACCACTGCACTCCAGCCTGGGCAACAAAGCAAGACTCCGTCTCAAAAAAAAAAAAAGAAAATGAAAAAACAGCCTGGGAGGGTTCTGAACAAACTGTTTTTGAGAATTCAAAATGCATGAGATGTCTGAGGCTAGTTAGGTCAAGCTCTCACCCAGCTTACTGGGATGTCATACCTAACCTTGGTCTTAGTATATTCAGGTATATTCAGGGCTAACTTTCTCCCTTACTCATTCAAATTGTGCTTGGCTAATGCCTCATACTTCTAGGTAGTTTCTTATTTATAGCTCTTGTTAAGATCTGGTTCACCATAGGGTTTTTTTTTTTTTTTTTAATTTTAACCACTGCACTAAAGCAAAGGAGTAGGAATTTCAAGCACTGTGGCAGGCCAATCAGTTCTGGGGATTAAATAAGGGGTAAGGTAGTGGTCATATCTTTGAGCAGACACAATTGCAGATTGGCATTCTTATAGTATGTCCTACTATATCTTATGTGGTCAACCATTTTGCCTACATAGGAAATTAAGCAGGTACTTCACCACTGACCACACTGCTTAGCCAAGAGTGGTGAATTAAACTCCATGTGGGTCTTAGACATGTTTGACAGGCAGAATGTACTTCTTTCATTTCTTGTTTCATTTTTTGATTTGTCACTGTACCAGGTACAGGCTGCTCAGAGGGCACTGTTTGTTGTTTGTCTCAAGATCTGTGGGGGAAACTGCTTTCTTGGAACTTCTTCAAGGGCCTAAGACCTTACAATCTTTCCCATGACATCTGTCATCAGGACTTCTTGCAGAACTAGAAAGGTGATAAGCCTTGACTTCAGTGCCCCATTTCATTTATCTATTCATTTACTTAGAGTACGTACTCTGTGGCAAGCACTGATCTAGGGGTTGGGATACATAGATGAAAAAACAGAAAATCTTTCTTATCAATATATTCCTGCTTGCCCCCAACAAATCAAACTCATTCTTTGACACATGATGACTAAACTGTCAGCTCTTAGAAAGCTGTATATGTATCTTATTTTTATTTTAATACCCTAAATACCTAGAATGCCTGGTGCCAAGTAAGTGCTCAGTAAATGTTTAGCAAATGAAGAAAGGAATTGAAAAAAGTATTTGAAACTCACAAATGGAGATGGCAGTAACTGATAAGGATCATGTAATATACATTTCAAAGATATTTGCAAATTTAGGGATAGGGCACGAAGATTCACAAATTTGTAGAGGAATGTATTGGTGGCAGTAGAGAATAGTGCTTAAAAATACAGACTTTAAGTCTGTCCTGGTTTCAGGTCAGACCTGATTTCAAATTACCAGTTCCCTTCCATTACCTAACTGTGTGACCCTGAGCAAGTTACCTAAACTCCCTGTGTCTTACTTTTCTCATATGTAAAATGGGCCTAGTAGAACAAATCTCATAGAATTGTTGGGAGGAATATATGTGATGAGATATATAAAGAACTTAGAACAATGCCTGGCTCACAGAAAACATTTAGTATTTATTAACATTAAATATATTTTTTAAAGTGATACCTCAAGTAGCTGGTCTGTGCTCCTTTGGAGAAGGAAACTGCTGGACTCTCAGAATGGTCCTGGACTTCATCTATCCAGAAGAAGCTTGCCCACTCTAACCTGATAACTATTTTCTCTGAAAGGTTCTTTGAAGCCACCAGCTTTTTTTTTTCTCCTTCCTTCTTTCCTTCCTTCCTTCCTTCCTTCCTTTCTTTTTCCTCTCTCTCTCTCTTTCTTTCTCTTTTCTCTTTTTGGGGCAATGGTTAGAGGGTTACAGACCTTCTAGAAATCTGATTCTCACAGCTATATAGAATAAATCCTAGAACAATGCTGCTCCAAGGTATGTTTTCTTACTGATTGGCTTTGACAGGCAGAAAAAACGTATTCATTTCTAATCACAAGAAAAAGTTTAGATGCTCCACTTACAGGATTAAAACAAAAGTTTATCCCAACATACAAAAAGAGAACAAGTGATGCTTTAGTAATAAAGTAAAGTGCTATCTACACAGAAAACACTAAGTAGGCAAAATCCAATTGTGCAGGGACTTGAGAGTTGGGGAATAAAGGGATTAAAGTCCAGATTCTGGGTAGCCCCTTGGCAAAATTCTAAAAGATCCTCTGTGTTTTCAGGCTTTTTGAGCTGGGACCTCTTTCACATTTCTGAACCGATTTTTTGTCATGTATTTGCACTCACGGCTCAGAAGTGGATTTAGCAGAAGAGAAGGAAGGCAGAGAAATGCCCCAACATGAGCATCTGCTATATGACAGGTATTGTGCTTAGCTCTTCATATATATTAGATATGCATTCCTCAGGCAACCCTGAACAGACTATAGTATTAGCATTCTGCTGATAAAGAAAAGTAATCTTAGAATCATTAAATGACTTGGCATCCTATCTTTTCTGTGGCTCAATGGGAATAGAACCTAGGTCTGTCTGTAGAGAGAAGCTGAGTTCTGCATATAACACAATGCAATTCTTGAACTAAAAGGATGAAGTTATATAAGGTGGGATGGGGATATGAATAAAGCTTTGAGCTGTGAAAGGAAAATAAATCTCGGGACCTCAAAATCACTAAGCCAAAGGGAAAAGTCAAATTGAGAACTGCGTTAGGCAACCTGCCTTCCATTCAATCCCTAAATAAGATAACTACAAAAATAAAAAAAGTTACATACCTTCCTCACAGTTTGCCCACAAGGAAATTCCTTGTGCACAAAAGACAGACAGAACTCAAAGTCATCCCTCTGCTCATGTAAGACAAATGCCTATCTGCTTGCTTCATCTGCCCTATTGTTTCACTAAGCCAGACTAAGGCACAAATGACTATTCCTCTACACTCCTTGCACATGTAAAGTGTGTATTCAGTGAAAAGCTAATCAGAGACTAAAAAGAATGCAACTGTTTGCCTCTTATATCTAACTATGACCTGGAGGCCCCCTCCCTCGCCTCCAGTTGTACTGCCTTTCTGGATGGAACAAATGTACACCTTATACATATTGATTGATGTCTCATGTCTCCCTAATTATGAGGCCAGCATCATCCTGATACCAAACCCTGGCAGAGACCCAACAAAAAAGAGAATTTTACACCAATATCCCTGATGAACATTGATGTGAAAATCCTCAATAAAATACTGGCAAACCGAATCCAGCAGCACATCAAAAAGCTTATTCACCAAGATCAAGTTGGCTTCATCCCTGGGATGCAAGGCTGGTTCAACATATGCAAATCAATAAACATAATCCATCACATAAACAGAACCAAAGACAAAAACCACATGATTATCATCATAGATGCAGAAAAGGCCTTTGACAAAATTCAACAACCCTTCATGCTAAAAACTCTCAATGAATTAGGTATTGATGGAAGGTATCTCAAAATAATAAGAGCTGTTTATGACAAACCTATATCCAGTACCATACTGAATGGGCAAAAACTGGAAGCATTCCCTTTGAAAACTGGGACAAGACAGGGATGCCCTCTCTCACCACTCCTATTCAACATAGCGTTGGAAGTTCTGGCCAGGGTAATCAGGCAGGAGAAAGAAATAAAGGGTATTCAATTAGGAAAAGAGGAAGTCAGATTGTCCCTGTTTGCAGATGACATGATTGTATATTTAGAAAACCCCATCGTCTCAGCCCAAAATCTCCTTAAGATGATAAGCAACTTCAGCAAAGTCTCAGGATACAAAATCAGTGTGCAAAAATCACAAGGATTCTTATACACCAATAACAGACAAACAGAGAGCCAAATCATGAGTGAATTCCCATTCACAATTGCTTCAAAGAGAATAAAATACCTAGGAATCCAACTTAGAAGGGATGTGAAGGACCTCCTCAAGGAGAATTACAAACCACTGTTCAACAAATAAAAGAGGACACAAACAAATGGAAGAACATTCCATGCTCATGGATAGGAAGAATCAATATTGTGAAAATGGCCATACTGCCCAAGGTAATTTATAGATTCAAGAGTATCCCCATCAAGCTAACAATGACTTTCATCACAGAATTGGAAAAAACTACTTTAAACTTCATATGGAACCAAAAAGGGCCCGCATTACCAAGACAATCCTAAGCAAAAAGAACAAAGCTGGAGGCATCACACTACCTGACTTCAAACTATACTACAAGGCTACAGTAACCAAAACAGTATGGTACTGGTATCAAAACAGAGATATAGACCAATGGAAAAGAACAGAGCCCTCAGAAATAACACCACACATCTACAACTATCTGAACTTAGACAACCCTGACAAAAAAAGCAATGGGGAAAGGATTGCCTATTGAATAAGTGGTGCTGGGAAAACTGGCTAGCCATATGTAGAAAGCTGAAACTGGATCTCTTCCTTACACCTTATACAAAAATTAGTTCAAGATGGATTAAAGACTTAAATGTTAGACCTAAAATCATAAAAACCCTAGAAGAAAACCTAGACAATACCATTCAGGACATAGGCATGGGCAAGGACTTCATGACTAAAACACCAAAAGCAATGGCAACAAAAGCCAAAACTGACAAATGGGATCTAATTAAACTAAAGAGCTTCTGCACAGCAAAAGAAACTACCATCAGAGTGAACTGGCAACCTACAGAATGGGAGAAAATTTTTGCAATCTACCCATCTGACAAAGGGCTAGTATCCAGAATCTACAAAGAACTCAAACAAATTTACAAGAAAAAATCAAACAACCCCATCAAAACGTGGGCAAAGGATATGAACAGACACTTCTCAAAAGAAGACATTTATGCAGCCAACAGACATATGAAAAAATGTTCATCATCACTGGCCATCAGAGAAATGCAAATCAAAACCACAATGAGATATCATCTCACACCAGTTAGAATGGCAATCATTAAAAAGTCAGGAAACAACAGATGCTGGAGAGGATGTGGAGAAATAGGAACACTTTTACACCATTGGTAGGAGTGTAAACTGGTTCAACCATTGTGGAAGACAGTGTGGCCATTCCTCAAGGATC